>NC_000023.11:32588558-32738915 GCF_000001405.40 Homo sapiens | reverse complement strand
AAACTGTATTCTCAACAGTCACTAATTATATTCTAATTGAATTTCAGAGTGAATTTCACACCTCTCCTTTTGAAAGATTCATTTCTATGAATTTGGGACAGCTTCCTAGTATGATATTCCATCTATAAGTATATCCATATCATCTATATCGTATACCTTATCTGCTCTGCTAACTCTTTCCTTGTGTTATTATGGATGTTCTCCAATTCTGTTCTGCAGACGGGTGACAAGTGAACATGTAGAAGAAGTTTTCAGTCTCCTAGTTTTACCTCCATTCAATTAACTTTAAAATCTACATTACTAGTTCTGCTGTGTCACCGGCAGTCCAAGAAAAGAAACCTGATCAGTTTGTGAAAATAGCTAATATTTAATATGAGCTTATTATGTGCCAGCTACTTTACCTGGAGTTTCTTATTTAAGCCTTACAATTGCTTTATTAAGGGCTAGGAACTTCACATGTACATTAAAATGTAGAAGCAAACTGTTGAGGAGAGAAAGGAATTTACCCATATTATACAGATAACTAATAGGAAGTAGAGATTGGATTTGAATGAATCCAGGACTGATGTCGAAGCCCAGTGTCTTAATGTTATTTTGGGATGTCTGCATAGATTTTTTTTTCTTTATAAGGGAGTGATGATTTTAAAAGCAACAAGACCCACCTTAGGTAAAGTCCATCATCCAAAACCAAACTCAGTTTTATTCCTGTGCCTACGCAACCACATTATTGGATGCCTAGAAAATGTTCAAACTTCTAACCAAGTCACTGGTAACCCTCTGTGATTTTGGCTTAATCAGGTTTATTCATCAGTTTTGCCCATATTTCACTTGAGCTCTAGTCTCATTACCTTAATTACAGCTTCCTGTATGTCTATAGGCTTTTGCTTCTATAGACCCAATTTATATGGTATCAACTCTATATGAAGCCGTTTTTGAATCTCCTAGTAATGCTTTAATTTTCCTAAAATTCCTGTTATATCAAATCAGATTTCTTTTTTATTTTTTTGTCAGTTATAAGTTTATTTTTTGTGAGGGCAAAAATAAATTTGTTGGATAATGAGTTTGTGAGTAGTAGATCAATTTGTTCACATATTTTGCAAAAGTTAGAGCTTATTACTCATTCATGTACTATTGATGTAACGCATTAGAAGACAGTTAACATTAGTTCCTAATTGCACCTGACCAAAAGGAGCTGTGGGCCTGGCCTATACACCTTATTGCGTGTTCAGCATCAACTGATTTAGTGAAGCAGCAAAAAGAAAAATGGTGTGTGCAGTATTATCTTTCTGCCACAGATACATGTTTTTAATTTCCAAGTTTCCAATGCATCATTCAGTTTTATCTAATGGGAATGCAGCTGAGAGAAGTTTGTATCAACCCAAAACTACATGCTAATATAGTTTAGTTTTCAAGACTTGTGGAGTCTTTTTTTTTAATGGAATAAGATCATCAGAAATCCTGGAGCAAGACAGACTGGCTGTGGTCTACCAGCATTGTAGTAAAAACATTGGGGAAGTTTTATAAGACCTAATTATTAGAAAATACCATAAAATAGTCATTTTCATAGAAAAAGCTTTCCTTTCTTTCCTCACACTAAATCACATTACTTTGTGTTCAAGGTAAAATGGAGTTTGAAATCTGGATGTAAATAAGAAAAGATATTATTTTATTCCAAGTGAAACATGTATTCACACTTCACGTCTTGAAGCACCAGGTGGCCATTTGGGCTGAGTTTTCAAGAAAAAAAAAATTATATAGATTTTATGTCCCCCCCCTTTTGTTGTTGCTGTTGGTGGTGGTGGTGGTGATTTTTATTTTTTGGTAAAGATAATAACATATGAAACAATTTTCCTGTTAATTAAAACTTACTCTATTTATGAGCATGATATTTTAAAGAAATTTTTTATATATAATGAATATTTGGATATATATGTGGTTAATGGTTATTTTAACAAACATTTTGGTTTGCTGAAATTTTTAAGTTTTTTTTTCTTTTATTATTATACTTTAAGCTTTAGGGTACATGTGCACATTGTGCAGGTTAGTTACATACGTATACATGTGCCATGCTGGTGCGCTGCACCCACTAACTCGTCATCTAGCATTAGATAAATCTCCCAGTGCTATCCCTACCCCCTCCCCCCACCCCACCACAGTCCCCAGAGTGTGGTGTTCCCCTTCCTGTGTCCATGTGTTCTCATTGTTCAATTCCCACCTATGAGTGAGAATATGTGGTGTTTGGTTTTTTGTTCTTGCGATAGTTTACTGAGAATGATGATTTCCAATTTCATCCATGTCCCTACAAAGGACATGAACTCATCATTTTTTATGGCCGCATAGCATTCCATGGTGTATATGTGCCACATTTTCTTAATCCACTCTATCATTGTTGGACATTTGGGTTGGTTCCAAGTCTTTGCTATCGTGAATAATGCCGCAATAAACATACGTGTGCATGTGTCTTTATAGCAGCATGATTTATAGTCCTATGGGTATATACCCAGTAACGGGATGGCTGGGTCAAATGCGATTTCTAGTTCTAGATCCCTGAGGAATGGCCACACTGACTTCCACAATGGTTGAACTAGTTTACAGTCCCACCAACAGTGAAAAAGTGTTCCTATTTCTCCACATCCTCTCCAGCACCTGTTGTTTCCTGACTTTTTAATGATCGCCATTCTAACTGGTGTGAGATGGTATCTCATTGTGGTTTTGATTTGCATTTCTCTGATGCCCAGTGATGATGAGCATTTTTTCATGTGTCTTTTGGCTGCATAAATGTCTTCTTTTGAGAATTGTCTGTTCATGTCCTTCGCCCACTTTTTGATGGGGTTGTTTGTTTTTTCTTGTAAATTTGTTTGAGTTCATTGTAGATTCTGGATATTAGCCCTTTGTCAGATGAGTAGGTTGCAAAAATTTTCTCCCATTTTGTAGGTTGCCTGTTCACTCTGATGGTAGTTTCTTTTGTTGTGCAGAAGCTCTTTAGTTTAACGAGATCCCATTTGTCAGTTCTGGCTTTTGTTGCCATTGCTTTTGGTGTTTTAGACATGAAGTCCTTGCCCATGCCTATGTCCTGAATGGTAATGCCTAGGTTTTCTTCCAGGGTTTTTATGGTTTTAGGTCTAACGTTTAAGTTTTTAATCCATGTTGAATTGATTTTTGTATAAGGTGTGAGGAAGGGATCCAGTTTCAGCTTTCTACATATGGCTAGCCAGTTTTCCTAGCACCATTTATTAAATAGGGAATCCTTTCCCCATTGCTTGTTTTTCTCAGGTTTGTCAAAGATCAGATAGTGGTAGATATGCGGCGTTATTTCTGAGGGCTCTGTTCTGTTCCATTGATCTATATCTCTGTTTTGGTACCAGTACCATGCTGTTTTGGTTACTGCAGCCTTGTAGTATAGTTTGAAGTCAGGTAGTGTGATGCCTCCAGCTTTGTTCTTTTGGCTTAGGAGTGACTTGGTGATGCGGGCTCTTTTTTGGTTCCATATCAACTTTAAAGTAGTTTTTTCCAATTCTGTGAAGAAAGGCATTGGTAGCTTGATGGGGATGACATTGAATCTGTAAATTACCTTGGGCAGTATGGCCATTTTCACGATATTGATTCTTCCTACCCATGAGCATGGAATGTTCTTCCATTTGTTTGTATCCTCTTTTATTTCATTGAGCAGTGGTTTGTAGTTCTCCTCGAAGAGGTCCTTCACATCCCTTGTAAGTTGGATTCCTAGGTATTTTATTCTCTTTGAAGCAATTGTGAATGGGAGTTCACTCATGATTTGGCTCTCTGCTTGTCTGTTGTTGGTGTATAAGAATGCTTGTGATTTTTGTACATTGATTTTGTATCCTGAGACTTTGCTGAAGTTCCCTATCAGCTTAAGGAGATTTTAGGCTGAGACAGTGGGGTTTTCTAGATATACAATCATGTCATCTGCAAACAGGGTCAATTTGACTTTCTCTTTTCCTAATTGAATACCCTTTATTTCCTTCTCCTGCCTAATTGCCCTGGCCAGAACTTCCAACACTATGTTGAATAGGAGTGGTGAGAGAGGGCATCCCTGTCTTGTGCCAGTTTTCAAAGGGAATGCTTCCAGTTTTTGCCCATTCAGTATGATATTGGCTGTGGGTTTGTCATAGATAGCTCTTATTATTTTGAAATATGTCCCGTCAATACCTAATTTACTGAGAGTTTTTAGCATGAAGGGTTGTTGAATTTTGTCAAAGGCCTTTTCTGCATCTATGGAGATAATCATGTGGTTTTTGTCTTTGGCTCTGTTTATATGCTGGATTACATTTATTGATTTGTGTATATTGAACCAGCCTTGCATCCCAGGGATGAAGCCCACTTGATCATGGTGGATAAGCTTTTTGATGTGCTGCTGGATTCGTTTTGCCAGTATTTTATTGAGGATTTTTGCATCAGTGTTCATCAAGGATATTGGTCTAAAATTCTCTTTTTTGGTTGTGTCTCTGCCAGGCTTTCGTATCAGGATGATGCTGGCCTCATAAAATGAGTTAGGGAGGATTCCCTCTTTTTCTATTGATTGGAATAGTTTCAGAAGGAATGGTACCAGTTCCTCCTTGTACCTCTGGTCGAATTCGGCTGTGAATCCATCTGGTCCTGGACTCTTTTTGGTTGGTAAGCTATTGATTATTGCCACAATTTCAGATCCTGTTATTGGTCTATTCAGAGATTCAACTTCTTCCTGGTTTAGTCTTGGGAGAGTGTATGTGTGCAGGAATTTATCCATTTCTTCTAGATTTTCTAGTTTATTTGCGTAGAGGTGTTTGTAGTATTCTCTGATGGTAGTTTGTATTTCTGTGGGATCAGTGGTGATATCCCCTTTATCATTTTTTATTGCATCTATTTGATTCTTCTCTCTTTTTTTCTTTATTAGTCTTGCTAGCAGTCTATCTATTTTGTTGATCCTTTCAAAAAACCAGCTCCTGGATTCATTAATTTTTTGAAGGGTTTTTTGTGTCTCTATTTCCTTCAGTTCTGCTCTGATTTTAGTTATTTCTTGTCTTCTGCTAGCTTTTGAATGTGTTTGCTCTTGCTTTTCTAGTTCTTTTAATTGTGATGTTAGGGTGTCAATTTTGGATCTTTCCTGCTTTCTCTTGTGGGCATTTAGTGCTATAAATTTCCCTCTACACACTGCTTTGAATGTGTCCCAGAGATTCTGGTATGTTGTGTCTTTGTTCTCATTGGTTTCAAAGAACATCTTTATTTCTGCCTTCATTTCATTATGCACCCCGTAGTCATTCAGGAGGAGGTTGTTCAGTTTCCATGTAGTTGAGCGGTTTTGAGTGAGATTCTTAATTCTGAGTTCTAGTTTGATTGCACTGTGGTCTGAGAGATAGTTTGTTATAATTTCTGTTCTTCTACATTTGCTGAGGAGAGCTTTACTTCCAAGTATGTGGTCAGTTGTGGAATAGGTGTGGTGTGGTGCTGAAAAGAATGTATATTCTGTTGATTTGGGGTGGAGAGTTCTGTAGATGTCTATTAGGTCCACTTGGTGCAGAGCTGAGTTCAATTCCTGGGTATCCTTGTTGGCTTTCTGTCTCGTTGATCTGTCTAATGTTGACAGTGGGGTGTTAAAGTCTCCCATTATTAATGTGTGGGAGTCTAAGTCTCTTTGTAGGTCACTCAGGACTTGCTTTATGAATCTGGGTGCTCCTTTGTTGGGTGCATATATATTTAGGATAGTTAGCTCTTCCTGTTGAATTGATTCCTTTACCATTATGTAATGGCCTTCTTTGTCTCTTTTGATCTTTGTTGGTTTAAAGTCTGTTTTATCAGAGACTAGGATTGCAACCCCTGCCTTTTTTTGTTTTCCATTTGCTTGGTAGATCTTCCTCCATCCTTTTATTTTGAGCCTATGTGTGTCTCTGCACATGAGATGGGTTTCCTGAATACAGCTCACTGATGGGTCTTGACTCTTTATCCAAGTTGCCAGTCTGTGTCTTTTAGTTGGAGCATTTAGCCCATTTACATTTAAGGTTAATATTGTTATGTGTGAATTTGATCCTGTCATTATGATGTTAGCTGGTGATTTTGCTCGTTAGTTGATGCAGTTTCTTCCTAGTCTCAATGGTCTTTACATTTTGGCATGATTTTGCAGCGGCTGGTACCGGTTGTTCCTTTCCATGTTTAGCGCTTCCTTCAGGAGCTCTTTTAGGGCAGGCCTGGTGGTGACAAAATCTCTCAGCATTTGCTTGTCTGTAGAGTATTTTATTTCTCCTTTACTTATGAAGCTTAGTTTGCCTGGATGTGAAATTCTGGGTTGAAAATTCTTTTCTTTAAGAATGTTGAATATTGGCCCCCACTCTCTTCTGGCTTGTAGGGTGTCTGCCGAGAGATCCGCTGTTAGTGTGATGGGCTTCCCTTTGAGGGTAACCCGACCTTTCTCTCTGGCTGCCCTTAACACTTTTTCCTTCATTTCAACTTTGGTGAATCTGACAATTATGTGTCTTGGAGTTGCTCTTCTCGAGGAGTATCTTTGTGGCATTCTCTGTATTTCCTGAATCTGAATGTTGGCCTGCCTTGCTAGATTGGGGAAGTTCTCCTGGATAATATCCTGCAGAGTGTTTTCCAAATTGGTTCCATTCTCCCCATCACTTTCAGGTACACCAATCAGACGTAGATTTGGTCTTTTCACATAGTCCCATATTTCTTGGAGGCTTTGCTCATTTCTTTTTATTCTTTTTCCTCTAAACTTCCCTTCTCGGTTCATTTCATTAATTTCATCTTCCATCACTGATACCCTTTCTTCCAGTTGATCGCATCGGCTCCTGAGGCTTCTGCATTCTTCACGTACTTCTCTAGCCTTGGTTTTCAGCTCCATCAGCTCCTTTAAGCACTTCTCTGTAATGGTTATTCTACTTATACATTCTTCTAAATGTTTTTCAAAGTTTTCAACTTCTTTGCCTTTGGTTTGAATGTCCTCCCGTAGCTCAGAGTAATTTGATCGTCTGAAGCCTTCTTCTCTCAGCTCGTCAAAGTCATCCTCTCTCCAGCTTTGTTCCGTTGCTAGTGAGGAACTGTGTTCCTTTGGAGGAGGAGAGGTGCTCTGCTTTTTAGAGTTTCCAGTTTTTCTGCTCTGTTTCTTCCCCATCTTTGTGGTTTTATCTACTTTTGGACTTTGATGATGGTGACGTCCAGATGGGTTTTTTGTGTGGATGTCCTTTCTGTTTGTTAGTTTTCCTTCTAACAGACAGGACCCTCAGCTGCAGGTCTGTTGGAGTACCCTGCCGTGTGAGGTGTCAGTATGCCCCTTTTGGGGAGTGCCTCCCAGTTAGGGTGCTCGGGGGTCAGGGGTCAGGCACCCACTTGAGGAGGCAGTCTGCCCCTTCTCAGATCTCCAGCTGCGTACTGGGAGAACCACTGCTCTCTTCAAAGCTGTCAGACAGGGATATTTAAATCTGCAGAGGTTACTGCTGTCTTTTTGTTTGTCTGTGCCCTGCCCTCAGAGGTGGAGCCTACAGAGGCAGGCAGGCCTCCTTGAGTTGTGGTGGGCTCCACCCAGTTCAAGCTTCCCAGCTGCTTTGTTTACCTAATCAAGCCTAGGCAATGGCGGGTGCCCCTCCCCCAGCCTTGCTGCCACCTTGCAGTTTGATCTCAGACTGCTGTGCTAGCAATCAGCGAGATTCCGTTGGGGTAGGACCCTCCGAGCCAGATGCAGGATATAATCTCCTGGTGTGCCGTTTTTTAAGCCCGTCGGAAACACGCAGTATTCGGGTGGGTGTGACCCGATTTTCCAGGTGCTGTCCGTCACCCCTTTCTTTGACTAGGAAAGGGAACTCCCTGACCCCTTGCACTTCCCGAGTGAGGCAATGCCTCACCCTGCTTCGGGTCGCGCACGGTGCACGCACCCACTGAGCTGCGCCCACTGTCTGGCACTCCCTAGTGAGATGAACCTGGTACCTCAGATGGAAATGCAGAAATCACCCGTCTTCTGCGTCGCTCACTCTGGGAGCTGTAGACCGGAGCTGTTCCTATTCGGCCATCTTGGCTCCTCCTCTCAAATCAGATTTCTGATCCAATATTTCAAGTTTTAATTTTCCCACTGGTAGGCTCTATTCCTACTCTTTTTCTGCTCATGGCTGAAAATTTTCTGTATCTCCCATCTCTTTCATATTTGAATCTATTGAATACATAGCCTCCACACTCTTAATAAAATACTAATTTCATCATGTAACTTCATTATTCAAAATATTTAGTGGCTCCCACTACCTATATTAAAGATTCCAAACTCAGTAGTTACTAATATTTTTCATAGGCTTTCTAGTCCTGTCCTTTCTTTTAGTCTTATCTCTTACTACTTTAAGCTTATTCCTAGGGCAAACATCTTACTATTTCCAAAATGTGATTCAACGTCATTCCTATTGCCTAGGAAGACACTCTTCTGTCCTATGGCTCTCTAAGTCTACTTCCTGTTGAAGTACTCTTTTTCATAAACATTCAAATTGTTTTTGTGTCCTACTTTGGTGTTACCTGACATATTTTAAAACTCATGGATTGGATCACATATCTATGCATTTACTTATGGCACCATTACATTTTATTTATTTTAAGAGACAAGATATTACTCTTTTGCCCAGGCTGGAGTGCACTAGCACAGTCGTAGCTTACCACAGGCCTCCAACTCCTGAGTCAAGTGATCCTTCTAGCTCAGCCTCCTGAGTAACTAGAATTGCAGGTGTACAACACAATGCAGAGGTACATTTAAACAATTTTTTATTGTTATTTTGTAGAGACAGGGTCTTGCTTCATTGCCCCGGTTGGTCTCAAACTCCTGGCCTCAAGCGATCCTCCTGCCTCAGCCTCCGAAAATGCTGAGATTAGGAATGTGAACCATTGTGCCTGGCCCACGTTACATTTTAACAGTGGGGATCTGAACACTGCAGTTTCCCAAAGCCAAAAACATGACTAACTCAGCTATAAATATTTAACCAACTCTTAAGTATACCTCCTGGACCATGGTCATATAGAGCAGAGGCTGTGCTACTATATATGCTTTAGTTTTGCTAGTACATTTAGAAAATTGTTTATTACATAGTCAGTACTATGGTGAATGGTTAAGATATGTTGAATGCCCTGCTGAGACAACGTTTTTACTTTGATAGGAAAGTCAAAAGAATAACACACATATTTAATTATTAAAGAACCAGAACATGTAGTTTTCTGAATTTCTTAGTATAAAAAGCTCCTTAAGAGACATAAGTATACAAATATACACTTCTTCATCTATGATACTCTATTAAATTTGGCATATTTCTTTTTAACAAAAACTTACAAGGGTAGAAATCTGCTGAGATGATATATGAAATGTGGAAATGTTAAAGATAGATTGGGGGGGTGGTTAAGATAAGACATTGAAGCATATAATACTCCTCTTGGAGAATCATTCAGCTTGCCAAGCTACCATGAATCAGTGTTTGAAAAGAGGCAGAAGATACATACATAGAAAAATCAGCCAAAATATTCATTAACATGAAATGTTTCCAAAGCTGAAGTGCTACATTAATGGTTGACTTTGTGCCTCAAGACTAAATATTGGGCAATGTTAGCTTTCCCTATAATAAAACTTGCCCCAAAATATATGTTGAGTATCCCTTATCCAAAATGCTTGGGACCAGAAGTGTTTTGGATTTTGGATATTTTCAGTTTGGAATATCTTTATTATACATACGAGTTGAGCATCCATAATCTGAAAATCTGAAATCCGAAATGATTCAATAAGGATTTCCCTTAAAAATGATCGTGTAGTTACTCAAAAAATTACAGATTTTGTAGCATTTCAGATTTCAAATTTTCCTATTAGGGATGTTCAACCTGTATTGAACTTACTTGCTTACACGTGTTGCCCGTTTGCTGTACTGTAAGCTCTGTGAAAAAAGTATCTGCTGACTTCTTTGTTCATAATTGCGCCCTAGCACCTTTTGTGGTAGTTGGAAAATGGTAGACACTGAGTAAATATTTACTAAATGAGTGGATAGGTAAAAGTATTTCAGTTTGGCATGGCAAGATGGAAAGACTAACAGTGTTTAAGTGGCTATGGCCAACGTCAGGCCTTCTTCAGTTTAAGAACTGTGGAAAGAAGAAAATTAAACAATTAAGGAAAGATAAGAATAAATCCAACAGGAAGTTCTCACTGAAGCCAAGAGATTCAAAAAAATACAGGAAGAAGAAGAGGAAGAAAATACTATTTTCTATGCATTATATTCCCAAAGATATCTGCCTTACTGATTAATATCAATTAATACCATAACTATCACATTTTCTCATAGGCCAAGGTGAAATGTCTGATAAGACAAGCTTTGTTGCTAACACAATTTAACTCACTTTAGAATATTAACATGACATTTATGTGGTCTACTCCTCTCTAAGCTCAAATAAAGCAGCTGCGTATAAAAAGCAGCCATGGATTAAATGACTTCAGCCTGCTTTGTGGAAACTACTGCTGTTAAACCTGCTCTTGATAAACTACAAAGAGTGCCTGGACTCCATTTATGAAAAGACATTTGAATATAGACCTCACATGGTGATCATTTAAAAATATTATATTTTGCCTGTATTACAACATTGGGTTGTATTTTTGTTTAAATCTCTACTTCATTTACTTATGCGTGTAATACTGACTTGCTTCACAAAATGTTACTCTGGAGTGTCTGGCAAGCTTCCTAACAAGAAATTTGAAAGCAGTTTTACATGAAAATCACATTTTTGAATTTTATATTTCTAGACAAGTTTTAGTACAAGCAGTGTAAGAGCATAAGAGTAGTCTATGTCATATGCTATTTGTCAGTCTCCAATGAAGAGTAAACATTTATCAGCTTCAGTAACAATCCCTGCCTAACTGAGGAGTGTCATTTTCTGAAAATATTGATTGATAGAGGCCTTGCCTAAAAAATATAAAATGCATGTAATTTACACACAGCTGAGAAATACAAGCTCATTTTTTCCTGACAAGCAGTAATGCCCTTTATAAACTATGGAGATTAAATTACAAAAAAAGTTAAATTAAAAACAAAAGTATGATCAGAGTGATCAGAGTTTTGTGTGGTACATTTTCTAGTAATCATGTTTTACAGCAGTCTAATTTGGTAAATAAAAGTGAATTGGAATATATTTTAAAGGCTAATATGTATATGTGTGTATGTGTATGTATATACATGTATATGTGTGTATATATACATCATAGAAACCTTTATATTTAAGAGAAAATCATCAACAAATACTTTTAACACATTTGTTGTTATGACGCAGTAACATGTATCCTAAATTAGGAAAGTCATGTTTCCGGATATTTTCCTAAGGAAATATTGGTTCTAAAAATTCAGCATAGGAACGTCAAGTATTTTATTATTCACTGAAGGGACCAATAATATCAATGCAAGCAGAGGCCTGATATAGAAAAATTAATTAAGGTGATTATAGAGGTGTAAGCAGGACTCTAGTAAATGAATTTAGAAGGTGGTCTAGTCAGTTGCTTGAACATTAATCAGAATTTAGAGTTCTGCTCTGTTATAAACTCAATGGTCTCGTGAAACCATTTTTATACAAGTCTCAATGAATTCATCTCTATATAGTTCTTGTTCCACCTACTTTAGTATTTTTTGAGGAGCAAATGAGATAATGTGTGCGAACATAAGACACAATGTGTAATCTAAGCCAATCTGGGCAGATTACCTTCTCTAGTGCAGATTAGAGATATCTATGCATTCACTAACTGAATTTTTGTACCAGTTGGAAGTGTTTCTGAAGCAGATCTTTTTTTTGCTAGTCTATTATAATTATTAAAGATGATATCATGCCTAAAATTTGTCACATTAAAGAAGCATCAGTATCTTTGTAACATTCACACATTGATTTTACTTCAACCTAGAGGAACCATGACTGCCTTTAACCATTTGAAAAGGTCTTTATGAATCTACCATCTCCAAGATGAATACCCACAGCCTTTATTATTGGGCTCACTTTTGGTGTCCTTTATCGTCATGGTAGTCATAGCTCCTACATCTAGTAAACGTTAGGCCTAGAATTTGAATTGCCTTGATTCTCAAATAATATCTGAATCCATCATCTTATATATTTATAATTTCTTTGAATATGTGATAATTAATTCAGGGTAATTAGCACATCCAATGTCTGTGTGTAGAAACATTGTGTTGGACCCCATAAATATGTATAATTATCATGTCAGTCATAAATAATAAAAAAAACTTCCCACAAATAATTTATAAACCCATGCAGTCCTTATAACTGCTCTTTCCAATATTAATTTCAGACTTAAAGGTGATCTGTTAAATTTTATCTTACTGGTTTCGATATTATTATAGCTAAGACATCCATAGCTGAATTTTATTACAAAGAGTAAAAGCTACCCTTTCCAGGAGAGTAAAATATTTTATTATAATAGCTGTATTTTTATGCCTTAAGATCCAAGATCATTGGCAAGGTATATTTGGTGGAAGCAGTCCAAATGAGAGTCACATGACCATCAAGTAGATATAACTTTAAACTGACACAAGGCCATTTGCCATCACTTTTTGGATAGGGTGTGCTGCCACATGTGTGTTTTTAAAATACTATATTTTAGTACAGATTCAAAATTTTGTCTGTGAATTTATTATGGGAGACATTGATAAGCTACATTGTGAATATGACCTTATCTATCGAACTAATAATATGATCAAAAGAGAAAATGACATTTGTTCATGGGTTGATTTGCTAACCCCGCAGTGTCATAAATAGTTTATAGTAGTGTCATTGCCTCCATAGAAAGTTAAGATTGCGTAGATTCTTCAGCTGTAATAAATTTGTAACATATATATTGGATAAAAGTATATGAGAATGTTCAAAACATTATTTAGATTAAGAGATATACCTATTAGAAATTGCATATATTCCAGGGGAATTTTTTAAATTTTTGTGGGTACATAGTTTGTATGTGTATATATGTATAGAAAGAGAGAGACAGTACATGAGATACTTTGATAAAGGCATGCAGTAAATAATAATCACATGGAGAATGGGGTATCCATCCACTCAAGCATTTATCCTTTGTGTTATAAACAATCCAATGATACTGAGTTATTATAAAATGTACAGTTAAATTATTGAGTATAGTCACCTTGCTGTGCTCGCAAATACTATGTTTTATTCTTTCTAAGGAATTTTTGTACCCATTAACCAACCCCAGCTTACCTCCACCCCCTAGTACCCTACTCAGCCTTTGAGTTGAGATCTCTCTCTCTCTTTAGCTCTAATAATATTTGCTTTATTTATCTGGGTGCTCCAGTGTTGGGTGCCTAAATATTTGCAATTGTTGTATCCTTTTGCTGAATTGACCCCTTTCTCATTATATAATGACCTTTTTTGACTCTTTGTTTTTGTCTTGAAATCTGTTCTGTCTGAAAAAAGTACAGCCACTCCTGCTGTTTTTTGGTTTCCATTGGCATGGAATATCTTTTTTCATCCATTTTCAGCCCATGTGTATCTTTATAGGCGGTCATTAAAGATGTCAAGTATTTTGTAGAATCATAGCATGTATATAAACACATGCATGCATATACATATATATACCTATGGACTACAATATTATAGATAAAATTTCATAAGTGACTATGATCCATGATATGAGAGGCAGAGAATGCTCAGCAGTGGGATCCCTCTCTCAAGCCATACTGTCAAATCTAGTATATTGAAATTTCTGGAACACCCTTATATATTAGAGTCTTTACCAGAAATGCTGGTACGTTTATTTTAACTGTTATTGCAGAAATGGCTAAGAAAACAATGTCTAGATTCTAAAGCAAGGATTAGGATTGTATACTTTCTTCTGTTGTGTTACACAGATACAACCAAACAATGACTATTTATTAAGTACTATCTGTGGCTAAGGTGTTGTACTTGAGGCTGTGTTATTTACGCACTAAGCTGTTAAAGTTTATTTGATGTTTACTAGAGCTTTCTGATGCCAAGAACACAACTCTGGTTTTGGTAGCTCTCTTTTTTCCATTGTTTAAAAATGCTAAAGATCATGCAAATAATTAACATATGATAAACATTTTTTAATCTCAGTAACATTGTAAATTTATAATATGATGAGAAAAAGAGCTGAAAGATTACTGATGTAATTTATAACAGGTTAGTATTTTTAGTTCATCATTATAAACCCAGAAGAGAAGAGCTAATAAAGTTATTCAGTTGTGCTTATGTAAATCTTTTGGATCTTGAGACTTATTTAATGACTGGATGAAGATTTTAAGTGCCATGGGATATGTGAGCTACATGGTTCAACTGTACAATTGGATCACTGTTCATTTTATGGGCTGTGATATACTTCACATTGGGTTGATTTATTGTTTCAGAGTAAAATTAGCTTTAACATGTTTTCTTCCTAACTGAATTGTAAATCAATTATGTTAACAGCTCCTCTTGGTAAGGGCCTAGACAAAATACATATGGTCAATAACCATTTTGTGTGAAATAAGCATATAAAAAGCAGACTTTAGTAGACTACTCTAGATTTGCATAGTTCCTCATAAATCAACTTTATGAAAATGATAAGAACTGAACAGAAATTTATTTGAAGAATTTGAGCCATAACAGCCTTATAAATTAGGTTCACTTCACCTATTTTATTCACCTCGTTTAGTTTCAGCAAAAAAGTCTGATTTAATTTAGAGTTTATTATTACTTTTGATTTTAAATGCACAATTCTTAATTGTATATTTATACATTCCAGTTGGACCAATTTTTTGAAAGGATTTCCTCAAGAAGTAGAATTGCACCATTTAAATGTATTATATTTGACTTGTCAACTGTCGAATCTAATTGTCATCATTTGAAATACAACAATATGTGCTAATTATTTTAGTTTTAGTTTTTATTCTTTTACTGGATGTACTTAAGGCAACCTTGTCCAACTCACAGCCCATGGGCTACATGTGGCCCAGGACAGCTTTGAATGCAGCCTAACTGTAATTCACCCACTTTCTTAAAACATTATGAGATTTTTTTGCAGGTTTTTTTTTTTAGTTGATTAGCTATTGTTAGTGTTAGTGTATTTTAGGTGTGGCCTAAGATAATTATTCTTCAAATGGAGCCTAAGGAAGCCAAAAGATTACATACCCCTGATTTAAGGGGTACAAGATGTTACGATATACATAGACATAATGAAATGATTACTGAATTCAACCAAATTATCCTATCCATTATCTTCCATAATAACTGTTTTGGTATGGTAAGAATACCTAAAGTCTCTTTTCTTAGCTAATGTTCAGTGTACAATACAATGCCATTAACTGTAGTCATCATACTAAGCAGTTATCGAGATTTATTTATCCAATATAACTTCAAGTTTGTGTCCTTTGACCTACTTCTCCTCATTTCTTCCAAACATTTAAAGAGTAATTTATACCATTTGTTCTTAAAATCTTCTAAATAATAGAAGAGGAAATACCTCCAAAGCCATTTATGACTTCAGCATCACCCTAAATACGAAAGTCAAACAGACACCGCAAGAGAAGAAAATATATATATGCCAATATCTAGGAGGAATATAGATGTGAAAGTCCTCAATAAAGTATTAGCAAGACAAATAACACATTGGATTATAAACCGTGACCAGGTGGGTTTAGCCCTAGGACACAAGGTTGGTTTAACATACACAAATCAATCAATGCGACATACTACATTAACAGAAAGATGAAAAACCACATGATTATCTCAATACATGCAGAAAAAGCATTTGATAAAGCTAAACATCCTTTTATTATTATAACTCTTCGCAAAATATGTATGGAAGGAAATTTCCTCAACATCAAGGCTATTTATGAAAAGCCTATAGCTAATATGATCAACGGTGGTTGTGGGGTGGTTGTACTGAAAGCTTTCCCCTTAAGATTTGCTAAAAAGCAAGGATGCCCACTCTTACCACTTCCATTTGTCATAGTACCAAAAATACTAGCAGGAGCAGTGAGACAAAATTAATAAAAGGCTTTCACATCTGAAAGGAAGAAGTAATATTATTTCTGTTTGCAAATGGTATGATCGTATATGTAGAAACCCCTAAGGACTCCACAAGAAAAATGTTAGAACTAATAAATGAGTTCAGTAAGTAGTGGAATACAAAATCAACATAAAATTAGTTGCATTTTTATGCAAAAGATATCCAAAAAATTTTAAAAAATTCTATTTATGATAACATAGAATAAAATATTTAAGACCCAATTTAAAGAAGAAAGTGAAAAATACGTACAACCAAAACTATAAAACATTGAGGAACAAATTAAAAGGTAAATATATGGGAAAATATCCCATGTTTGTAGACTGGAAGAAGTAATATTGTTAAAATTTCCATACTACCCAAATGGATATATAGCTGTCCCTTGGTATCCACGGGACATGGGTTCCAGGATGCCAGTGGATACCAAAATCCAAAGATGCTTAAATCCCTTATACAAAATGGCATAGTATTTGCATATACCTATGCACACCCCCCTATATACTTTAAAACATCTATCGATTATTTGTTATTACACCTAATACAATGTAAATGCTATAGAAATAGTTGTTACCATATATTATTTTTACTTGTATTAATATTTTTTGTTGTTGTATTGAGTTTTTTGTTCTATTTTTGATTATTTCTGGTCTACAGTTGCATCCGTGGAAATAGAAGGTTGACTGTACAAATTTAATGTAATCCCTGTGAAAATCTAAATGGCATTTTTTTTCACAGAAATAAAAGAGCATTATAAAACTTACATGAAATCCCAAATAGCCAGAACAATCTTGAGGAAAAAAAAGTTGGAAATACTGCTCTTTGGATTTGAAATTATATCATAAATCTACAGTATTAAAAAGAGTATTGTAATGCCATAAAAACAGACACATAAACTGATGGAACAGAATAGAGATCTCACAAATAAACCTAAGCCTATATAATCAACTAATTTTGGACAGGACCACCAAGAAGATATGTGGGGAAAGGACAGTCTCTTCAATAAATGGTGTTGTAAATTGTACCCTTGTCTTATACTGTACACAAAAATTAAGTGAAAATGGACTAAAGACTTAAATATAAGACCTAAAATCATAAGACTCCTAGAAGAAAACAGAGAGGAAAAAGCTCTCTGACAGTCGCCTTTGCAAGGATTTTTTGAATATCACATCAAAATTTCAGGCAAGAAAACAAAAATAAACTAGTGGAACTACATTAATCTAAAAAGCTTCTGGAAAGCAAAAGAAAAACACAGCCTACAGATTATGAGTAGATATTTGCAAAACATATATCTGATAAGGGTTTAATATCCAAAATATATAAGGAACTTGCACAATTCCATAGTGACAAACTAAATAACCCAATTAAAAAATTGGGAAAGAACTTGAACATTTTTTTTTTCAAAGAAGATGTGCAAACGGCCAACAGGGAAATTAAAACGTGCTCAATATCACTATTAGGGAAATGCAAATCAAAATCATAATAAGGTATTACTTCATACCTGTTAGGATGAGTATTATCTAAAAGATGAGATAACAAGTGCCAGTAAAGGCAAGGAGGAAAGGGAACCCTGACATACTGCTGGTGTCGGTGTAAATTAGAGCAGACATTATGGAAAATTGTCTGGGAGTGTTTCCTCAAAAAGTTAAAAATAGAACTACCATATGACCCAACAATCCCACTCCTGGGTATAGACCCACAGAAAATGAAATCAGAACCTTGTGGAGATAGCCTTACTCTCATGTTCATTGCGTTATGATTCATAATAGCCAAGATATGAAAATAACCTGAGTGTCCACTGACAGATAAAGAAATTGTGACACACACACACACACACACAAATATTCAGCCTCACAAAAGATAGTGCCATTTGTAACAACATAGGTGAGCCTGAAGGAAATTACACTAAGTGAAATAAGCAAGACACAGAAAAAAATATGCTACGTTATCTAACATCTGAAATCTGAAGAAAATGTATAAGTTGAATACATAGACAGTAGAATGGTGATTACCAGGAGTAGTGAGGGTGAGGAAATAAGTCAATGTGTACATGGAAACTTGCAGTTATGTGGGATAAATAAATTTAGAGTTTCGATATACAGCTAACCCTTTTTTAAAAAAATATAAAAGCAGATAATAATGGGGTAAAATGTAGTGTTTTGATCTATGCATACATTATGAGAAAGATTTGATCTAGCTAGTTAAAATGTCTATCGCCTCAGCTACTTAACCCTTTCTAATATTTATCTAAAATATGTCAGATCCAGAGATGTATGACCAGATTTTAACATCATTTTTAATGTAGAATTGACAGTTGTAACAATGATTTTCTCAGTTTGCTTATTCAACACCCATGGACCAAGATAATAAATTTAGGACCTATTTAAGTAGTTTCTAAAAAGGCGTTAAAAAAATCCCCATGGGGGCAAACAATGTGAATCGAATAACATTTCCAAATGAATGTAATTTGCTCATTTGGATGTGAGCTAAGTAAAAAAACGATTGTAAAAGAAAATGTAAGTAATAGAAATTATCTAAGAAGAGCAATGAGATGTGTTCCATCTGTGACCAATTTTGGTCAATTTTTTCACAGGCATTTAATGGGTGCAAAATGAGCCAGTCTTGGTATTAGACCGTTAAAATGCATTGTCTTCTAGGAGTTCATATTGTTTCCCCTCCCATTCTGAAAAAAATTAGAAAAGGTAACAACAATAAAGAATTGTGGTAGACAAAAACTCTTTTGTAAGGTATGATTTGACTCGTATAATAGGTGTTACGAGTGTTGAGTGGCTCTGTCAGATAGAAACAGTCAAAGAAATGCTAGTAATGTTGTCTTGTTTGCTTTACTTGTAAGTATCTTGTGTATTTTATTTACTTAATATATTTAATTTACTTTAATATTAAAACGTGTGTGTGTGTATATATATATATATATATGAATGAATGAATTCTAATGGGTCAGGTCATATAGTATGTGTGTGCACGTGTGCACATGCAAGCTGGGATAACAACGTATTATATGATAGAGTCTATCTGGTGATAAACGTTCAGAGGTTGGAAAAGGGCATTGTGTACCAAGCTCTTGAGGTATTCTGGGAAATAACTGCACACCAAGCATTTGGATATTGACTGACTGATAACAGTAAATGTACATTTATTCAGCTAAATAAATGAAAAAAAAAGTATCAGGCATTCCAAGCAGTGAAAATAACTTAAATAAGAACACAAAAGTAAGTCTACATTTAATATGCTCAAAGCATCATGTGCATCTGTACAATATCCAAAATATTTCCACCAGAATTAAATTTTGTTATTCCATTATTTTACTATAATATTTGGAGGCAAATGCATATTAACATAATCAGTTTAAACTTTGCAATACTAAGGTTTCTCTTTTATTTAGTACAATGACCCAAAGTTATAGAATTATTTGCCTCTGATTTCTTGGCAACATATGTATACTTTACTGAAAATTTCATCTACTTCATTCTTCATCACCCTACACTCACACAGAGAAACAAATTGATAATGAGAAATTGAAAAGGAATATGAAAGCTCAGTGCTGATTTTTATTTGGTTCATGTAAACCTCTAGAAGCTTAGCTCTATTAAGATTATCTGAACCTTTGTAATACTTTCTATTTGAAGCTATTTGCTTCCAACCAGTCTATCTTATATTAATTATTATTTTCAATTCATCAGATTATGTGGATGCAATGGCTGATAAGTTGAGATATACTTTGAGGAACACTGCTATGATAATCATGATAGAGGATGCATGGGTGATTCATAGTATTTCCAACTATGTCCAGTTATGTTTAGTGTTTGTGAATCACCTATTTGCCTACCTTCTCTAGTTGAGTAACTATATATGTAGGTAATTGAATCAGACTATTTTGCTACCAAGAATATAGCCTCTTCCCCGATATAAAGAGGCACCAATTACAGATTATTTACCTAATGGAGCATTTTAAATATGGAAGGTTATTAACTATTTACACTTGAGTCAACATTGGAATAAAAAGTTTTAGCTGACAAAATTATTTGCTAAGTGTGTACTTCCATCCACATTTGCCATATATTTTAAAGAGCAATAAGGAAAGTCTTTTAAAGTGATGAAATTCAGGGCTTTCATTTAATTGATGTTTTTATGTGACATATTTATATTAATAATAAAATGCAAAACAGTGAACAGGTAATATTTAATCTTTGTTCTTCCTTTTCTTAAAGTCAGGAAGCCAGAACTAGTCAGTCCTATCAGTAAAAGCAAAAGTAATATATCCAATGACATTTGCTTAAATACATTACCAAGTCCTGAGAAAGGTTCTTACTAATCTGGGAATAAATGTCCTTATCTTGATATGTGTATTAGTCCGTTCTCACATTGCTATAAACAACTACCTGTGACTGGGTAATTTATAAAGAAAAGAGGCTTAATTGACTTGCAGTTCCACAGGCTGTATGGGAAGCATGGCTGGGGAGGTCTCAGGAAATCACTGTGGAAGGTGAAGGGGAAGTAGGCACGGCTTACATGGCCAGAGAAGGAGGAAGAGAGAGCAGGCAGAGATGCTACACGCTTTCACACAACCAGATATCATGAGAACTCACTATCATTGGAACAGTAAGAGGGAAATCTGCCCCTATGATTCAGTCACCTCCCACCAGGCGCCTCATTCAATATTGGGGATCACAATACAACATGAGATTTGGGCAGGGACACAGTGCCAAACTATATCGTTCTGCCCCAACCCCTCCCAAATCTCATATTGTTCTCACATTTCAAAATACAATCATGCTTTCCCAACAGTTCCCCAAAGTCTTAACTCATTCCAGTATTAGTTCAAAAGTCCACAGTCCAAAGTCTCATCTGAGACTAAGGCAAGTCCCTTCAACCTATGATCCTGTAAAATCAAAATGAGTTACTTCCAAGATACAATGAGGGTACAGGCATTAGCTCAAAAGAGTTAAATCGATCAGAAGAAAGGGGTTACAGGCCCTGTGCAAGTCCAAAACCCAGCAGGGTAGTCATTAAATCTTAAAGCTCCAAAATAATTTCCTTTGACTCCACATCTCATCCAAGCCACAGTGATGCAAGGGACAGGCTCCCAAGGCCTTGGGCATCTCCATCCCTGTGGCTCAGCAGGGTGTACAGCACCCTTAGTTGTTTTCATGGGCTGGCATTGAGTGACTGGGGCTTTTCCAGGTGTATGGTGCAAACTGTCACTGGAGAGACCATTCTAGGCTCTGGAGGACAGTGGCCCTCTTCTCAAAGCTCAAGTAGGCAGTGCCCCAGTGGGGACTCTGTGTGAGAGCTCTAACCCCACATTACCCTTCTGCACTGCCCTAGTAGAGGTTCTCTATGCAGGCTCCCCCGCTGCAGCAGACTTCTACCTGGACATGCAGGTGTTTCCACACATTCTCTGAAATCTAGGTGGATGCTCTCAAGCCTCAACTCTCACACTCTGCACACTTGCAGGATTAACACCACATGGAAGCCACCAATGCTTATGGCTTGCACCCTCTGAAGCAACACCCCAAGACACATCTGGGGCCTTTTTAGTAACAGCTGGAGCTGGAGTGTCTGGGACATAGGGAGCAGTGTCTTGAGGTTGTGCAGAGCAGTGAGGCCCTAGGCCTGGCCTCCGAAATCATTTTTCCTTCCTAGACCTCCAGACCTGTGATAGGAGGGGCTGCTGCAAAGGGTTCTGAAATGCCTTTGGGCATTTTCCCCTTTGTCTTGGTTATTAACATTCAGTTCCTTTTTACTTATGCAAATTTCCGCAGACAGCTTGAATTTCCCCCACCACCCCGAGAAAATAGGCTTTTGTTTTCTACCACATGGTCAGGCTGCAAATTTTCTAAACTTTTATGCTCTGCTTCCCTTTTAAATATAAGTTCCAGTTTCAGATAATCTCTTTGCTCATACATATGACCGTATACTGTTAGAAGAAGCCAGGTCACATCTTAAATGTTTTGCTGGTTAGAAATTTCTTCTACCATATACCCTAAATCATCAGTCTCAAGTTAAAAGTTCCACACATACCTAGAGCAGGGGCACAATGCTGCCAATCTCTTTTTGTTAAAGCATTGCGAGAGTGACCTTTATTGCAGTTCCCAATAAGTTCCTCATCTTCATCTGAGACCACCTCAGCCTGGATCTCATTGTCCATATCAATATCAGCATTTTGGTCCAAGCAGTTCAAGTCTCTAGGAAGTTACAAACTTTCCCTCATCTTCCTGTCTTCTGAGCGCTCCACACTGTTCCAACGTGTGCTTCTTACTCTGTTCCAAAGTTAGTTCCACGTTCTCATGTATCTTCGTAGCAGTGCCCTACCTCTCGGTACCAATTTTCTGTATTAGTCCTTTCTCGCATTGCTATAAACTACCTGAGATTGAGTAATTTGTAAAGATAAGAGGTTTACTTAACTCAAAGTTCTTCAGGCTGTACAGGAAGTATGGCTGGGGATACCTCAGGAAATTTCCACCTTCTTGTGGAAGGCGAAGGGGAAGCAGGCACATCTTATACCTTACATGGCCAGAGAAGGAGGAGAAAGCAGGGGGCAGTACTACACACTTTTAAACAACCAGATCTCATGAGAACTCATTATCATGAGAACAGCAACTGGGAAATTCACCCTCATGATCCTATCATCTCCCACCAGGCCCCTCCTCCAACACTGGGGAACACAACTCAACATGAGATTTGGGCAAGGAAACAAATCCAAATCATATCAATATGCTAGAATGACTCAAACAATAAATACGACAAGAATATTCCTCCTCTGTATTGACGCTGTTCAGTATTTTTCTGGAGAACCTAGCCAATATTATATGACGAGAGAAAGTTACATGAAATATATATTGGAAAGCACAAGATAAATTATTTGAAAATAATATGATTTTCTCATTATGTAAAATGATCTCAAAATTAGGAAATGTACAGTGGTAATAAAATGATACTCAGCATAGTTACTTTTTGTTTTTCAGTTTCCACAAACAAGTGAGATCATGCAATATTTTTCTTTCTGTGTCTTGCTTATTTCACTTAGCCTAATGTTCTTCGGCTCCATCTGTCCTGTGGCAAATAAGAAGATCTCCTTTTTTTGTGTTTCTGTTTTGAGATGAAGTCTCACTCTGCCACTCAAGCTGGAGTGCAGTGGCTCACTGCAACCTCCACCTCCCCGGTTCAAGTGATTATCCTACCTCAGCCTCCCAAGTAGCTGGGATTTACAGGCGCCCACCACCACACCCAGCTAATTTTTGCATTTTTAGTAGAGATGGGGTTTCACCATGTTGGCCAGGGTCTCAAACTCCTGACCTCAGGTGATCTGCGTATCTGCCTGCCATGGCCTCCCTAAGTCCCTAAGTGCTAGGATTATAGGCATAAGCCACCACACCTGGTCAAGATCTCCTTTTTTTTTTTTTTTTTTTTTTTTTTGATGGAATCTCTGTCACCAGGCTGATGTGCAGTGGCACAATCTCGGCTCACTGCAACCTCCACTTCCTGGCTTTAAGAGATTCTCCTGCCTCAGCCTCCTGAATAGCTGGGATTACAGGCGCACACCACCAAGCCAAACTAATTTTTGAATTTTTAGTAGTGATTGGCTTTTACCATGTTGGCCAGGATGGTCTCAATCTCTTGACCTTGTGATCCTCCTGCCTTGGCCTCCCAAAGTGCTGGGATTACAGGCATGAGCCACCACGCCTGGCCCAAGATCTCCTTTTTAAAGGCCAAGTAATATTCCATTGTGTATAACTATATAGAGAGAATAAAACAGTGGTTACCAGGTTGGGGGTGGAAGGAGGAAATGGGGAGATGTAGGTCAAAGTCTATAAAGTAGCAAATATGTGGGATAAACAAGTTGAAAGATCTAATATAAAACATGAGGATTATAGTTAATAGTGTGTTGTATTCAGAATTTTTACTAAATGAGTAGATTATAGCTTCTCGTGGTCAGAGGGTGGGGGAACGATTATGTGAGATGATGGATATGTTAATTTCTTTCATTATGGTTTCATTATGGTAACCATTTACATGTGTATCTTATAGCATCATGTGTATACCTTAAAACACACAATAAAATTATTTTTAAAAAAGAGAAGTTCCAAAATCTATGTAGTTTTCTTAGAAGTAAACCGCACAAGAAAGTATAAGCTTTTTTTTATAGGAAGTTTAAAGTTGTATATAAGTACATAAATAAAGACATGAGGAAAGGAAGTCACATATGATGAAAATGCTAGTTCTCCCTAAGTTAGTTTGTACATTGAAAGTAACTTCAGTCACACTCGCATGTTCACTGGAGCACTATGCGTAATAGCAAAATCGTGGAATCAAGTTGTGTCCATGAGTAGATAAAGATAATGTGGTGTGTATATATAATGGAATACTAACGAGCCACAAAGGAATAAAATTATGTCTTTTGCAGCAACATGGATGAAACTGGAGGCTATCATCCTAAGTGAAATAAGTCAGAAACAGAAAATCAAATACTGTATTTTCCTATAAGTGGTAACTAATCAATGGGTACACATGGACATACAGAATTGAATACTCAACATTGGAGACTCCAAAAGATGGGAGAGTGGGAAGGGGGTGAGAGATGAAAAATTACCTATTAGGTACATTGTAGACTATTTGTGTGATGGGTACACTAAAAGCCGAGACTTGATCACTACACAACATATCCATGTAACAAAATTGCACTTGTACCCCTTAAATCTAAAGTTCCTGAAGTTACTTCAATCAAGATCTAGATGGTCCCTGACTTAAGATGGTTTGACTAATGATTTTTCAACTTTATGATGGTGTGAAAGCAGTGTGCGTTCAGTAGAAACCGTACTTTGAGTACCCATTTAATCATGCCATTTTTCACTGTCACTACTGTGCTCAATGCATTACACGATATATTCAGTACTTTAGTTTTTATAGAACAGGCTTTGTGTTAGATGGTTTTGCCAAAGTATAGGCTAATGTAAGTGTTCTTGCATGTTTAAGGAAGGCTAGGCTAAGCTATAATATTTGACAGGTTCAGTGTATTAAATGCAATTTTGACTCACTATATTTTCTATGGACAATGGGTTTATTGGAATGTAACCCTGTCATAAGTCGAGGAGCATCTGTATAATTACACACTCACATGCCCACAAACATGTATGTATGCGACTCTCTGTGTATCTATATTTGTATTATTTTAGAGGATATAACAGAACCCTAGCAATAAATAGAATTTATCTCAGATGGTAAAATGAAGATAATTGTATTTTAAAAGTTACAGAAGTATATATTAACAAATAGGTGACAAGAAATAATCTAGAGAGGAGCAATAGTAGGAAGTAGTTACTATTTCTACTATTCCTACTATATAGTAGCTGAAAGGAAAGGGGGAACGGAGTTCAGTGAAAGCTGCACCAATGGAGGGAATGTAGTTGTTGGTAGAACTCAGATACTACATTATGCAGCTCTGGAGCAGGGAAATAATAGAGAAATTTCCCCAGCTTTCTCTTTCCCTCTTCTTTCAATCTCCAGCTGGTACTTCCCACCAGCTTAATGCAACTGGAATCTAGCCAGCTAATGATCACAGGAGATACAGTGTGAAAGGGTCAGCCACTTAGAGAATAAGCAGAGAAGAAAGGGTGTTTATGTTCAGGGTGAGCACACTGAACATAAATCACATGAATGGTAAGAGGGATTCAGTTTTCTAGATAATTCTAAAATTTGTTTAAATGTAAATGCGTGAGTACAGTTAAGAAATTATTTTCAAACAGGTGATTTGCTTTAGTAGATTTTATAACATACTTAACATAGTATGACATGATAGAGAAATAATTTAATGGTGTGGAATAGATATTTTGACAACATTCCCTTTTATTTAGGTAAATTTAGTACACAATTAGGGTGACATTTCATGTCTCTAGAGATAGAATAGGTTAGCTAATAAAGCCTTCAACTGTGGAAACCCAAGGCACAACAAATACTAAGATAACTTTCAGATAATGATTGAATGTGAATAAACATTTAAATACTTTATTACAATGTAGAAGAATATTACAATAATATTAAGGTGATATAAAACCTAGAGGCTGTAAAATACCGACAAATTTACCAACACAAAATTAAAATATTTTCCATTGTGAAAGACCATTAAACAGTAATAAAACCTATGATGGACTGCAGAATGACACTAGTAATAAAAAATCAATAACCTCAGTATGATAACACTCCTACAATGAATATACAAAGTATAATATTTTAAAAGTGGCTACATATTATGGTCAGGACATTCACTTGGGAAAATTAGAAATAGCCCATCAAAATAAAATTAAGCTTAACTAATAAATAAATGCATAGTACAAATATCTTCTTATTATGAGGGTTCATGTAAATAGGCCCTGTGTTTCTTTTGGAGGAAACACAACTTGTAATATTTTAATCAGACAATTTAGTATTATCTTTCAAAATATGTAATTTTACATATATTTGATCCTGAGGTTTCACATTTAAGAATTAGATATATAGTAATACTCATACATATCTACGACAAATGTGTAAGGATGTTCATTGCAGCGTTGTACACAGTAGCTCCAGTATTTTTCATGCTATGGACTGTTAGGCAGATATATCTCTACCATTGGACTATAGGCACCATAAAATCAGGGTCTAGGTTTGTTTGTGTTTGTTTTTATTTTTGCTCACTATTTCAGCTGCAGTGTCCAGCATAATCCTCGACTTATGGCAAGTGTCCAATAAATAGTTACAGAATAAATAAATGGATAAATGAATACATGCATTACTGAAATTAATTTTGAAGTTCACATTGTATATATACATGTGTATATACATTTTAAACTTGAAATTTGCTGAAAACATACTTTATGCCAGGCATTGCTCTAAATGCCTTACTTGCACTTACCTTCTTGGAAAAGTCTTTGCCTCATTTTACCAATGAGGGTATGAAGAAATGAAGAAATTAAGTTTCTTATCCAAATTCATAATACCAGTGAGTGGTAAAGCTAAATTTTGAATCTTTACTAATTGAGCACATCTTAAGAAAGTACATGCATAGACAGTGTATATGTTTAATCTCATTAGACAGGCAGATGAGTATGATAAATGGATAGCTAAAAGAATGGCTGAATGGATAGATGCATGGATGTATGGATGACATAGCATCTGGTGACAAGTATTACTTCTAGCTAATGGGACTGTGGTGCTGTAGAGATATGGGGTACTTTCACTATTAACTTTAAATGCGTCTGTACTGTTTTAGTTTTCCACTACAATAAGCATGTATGGCTTTTGTAATAAAATGTTTAAAAGTGAGAGATTAAATCCAGACTTATGAAATTAAAATATCAAAGACAACTAACGGTTGAACTCTTGGGGCCAAAACCGTCAATGGGATGTGTTTTCTCTGAGGGAAAGCTTTCCTAATCAAGGGGCACGTTCCCATTGAGATAAGAGTGGAAATGACCCATCTGGTCAATCCAAGATCAGAGCCCATATGGGGACTGGAGCTATGATAAGGAGTCAGGCTCCATAGGATATAGTAATTGAGATAGTTATACCAAGCCCCTGGGTTTCTGGTCATCAGGAAAGACAGGCCCCTGCTAGTAGAGCTCTACCTGAGGGAGAGGTATTTGAGAGAGGCCGACATTTCAGAGTCAAGAAGAACTGGAAGCTATACCAAGAAAATGGGTTATGTGGTATTTAGCATATCAGTTTTAACCCTCATCCAGCCACTGAGAAAAGGAAAGAAGAAATTTTAAAATTGCAAATGGACAAAAGGAACATTCAGTAATTAAAATAGCAGTAAGATTCTACGCAAAGCCTTTCCTTTTCTCTATTTAGTCTTTGAAGTTGCTAATATCTAGTCAAAGGGAGTTGCTTTCCAAATATGTAATGTTTGCATGCATATTATAGTTATATATTAGTGATCATATTGTTTATAAATGTGTGTATACCATCCTAGGTTTTTGTTTCTTTATTGAATCCCTTTCTCATATATCTGAGCTTAAAAAGCATTTTTTACAATTATCATTATTTGGTAGAATCCTACCCACCGCTGACTCATAGTTTTAGTGAGATGACAAGGAATTCACACACTTGAATCTTTCAAACCCCCAGGTATGCAGACGCTTAGCACAAAATTTTTGGAAGCTATGCTTCCAAAGTTCTAAGGAGTCTGCTTTTCCTATCCTCAGTCTGAGAGCACTTGAGTACATTTTTTTTTCTGTAGATATCAGTCAATATTATTTTTGAAAATACGTTTTTGTAAAGCACGGTGCTATTTTGTAGTGTGTATGCCAAAGTTTAGAACAATGAATAAAACATTAGTTTTCCTGTGTCTTGAGTATTTTCAATCTGAATTTAAAATGTACTAACTTTGTCATCATCACTCATAGGCTTCTTGATTAACCTGCTAATGCTCTCTAATTTGGAAATTAATGCTTCTTTCCCTATCACTTAAAAATAATCTGATACAGTTTCTAGAGCATGAGATGTTCTTCAAATCAAGTCTTATTTTTGGAAATGTGATCAATAAGAAAAACTTCTTGCAATACAATAGGAAGCTGAGGTGCATTATGCTTAACTTTATCCAAGGTCACAAAATGAAAGAACTGGGAGCCAAACCAAGGACTCTACTTTTTTTTTTCCACTTTAATCAGACTGTCACTTATTGGTTGTATGACCTTGGGCTGTATTCTTAACTCACAAGAGAGTGGTGAATTTAAATGAAAAAAAAACATAATAAAAGTTCTTGTATATAATTGATACTTGATAAAAACTAATTCTATACCAAACTGAATCTCTTTTGCAGAATTTTGTAGGGAGAAAAATACAGGCTGCTCCTGTTCCTTGCTATGTGCTTTCTGCCCCTTCAAGCAGTGCTCAATTTTCAACATGTGTCTTACTCTACATTCAGGGGGTGTAGACCATGAAAATGAACCTTTATTCCCAAAAGGTTCTCTCTCCATTCATTTACTGATTTAACAAATACTGAGTACCTACTACTTCTCAGTCATTGGTAAAACAATCTAAAGGAAGTTCCTGCCTTTGTGGTTTTTATATTCTTATATAAAAAATAAACATAATAATGACAGTTTGTGACAAGCAATGTAAAGGAAATCAATGTAAAATAAAGGGAAAGGGGTTGGGCTTCTTTAAATGGGATAGGAAATGCATCTCTGAAGAGGTGCCATATGAGTTAAGACCTAATGGGTGAGAATGAATCAAAAATGCAAAAAGAGAAATTATTTTAGGTAAAAGAGCACCAAATATGAAGATCAAGAGGTGTAAAATGGCCTTCGGTATTTGAGATGCAAAAACAAAACAAGACCAATGTGTGAAAGAGAAAGAGGGATGACATTAGAGTGCTTTTAGCTAAGTGTGAAGGATTGGGTCATGCTGTACTTTACAGGCATGGAAGGCAGTGTCTTTTAACACATACATCAAATTCTATTCACTATTCAAAAAATATACTTTAGTATATACATTTTAATGAAAATCAATCTCAGCTATGTTTTACGCATTCTTAACATCATTTATTACATTCTCTTTTATAAAGTTATCCCTTATCATCATCATATTTGTGTTACATGGTTTTGGATGCTTACTCTCTTTTTCACTTGTACCTTTCTCCATCAATGCTTCACATTTGATTATCTTCACTTCTGTAAATTTCTAAATTGCATTTTTTTCACATTGGAAATTACTTGACATCCATGGATATTATTGTATTTGTAGTTGGGAGGTCCTAATTACAATGGTGGAAGCCAGAAACTCCAAACTCAAATGAAATTTCATAAGTACTGTCAAAAGGAAAATGTATCTTTGTAATTTGAAAATGGGTTAAAGTTTGCTACTTCTTGATTGGGTGTGTTTCATCAGCATGCCTCCAGTAGTGCTTAGAAAATACACAAATGCGTGATGTTCGTCCACTGGTTTCAGTTTTCAGTTAGAGTACTACTGAAAACTTTGGATTAGTTCAGGAAAACTTAATTCGCCATCAGTTATTTTGTCAGTTGTTGAAGTTTGTGTGTGATGGTGTTTTGCTCAACACTGAACCCCTTATTCTGATGTTGCGTATGACATATGATACCACCATGACACCATCCCACATAAATGTTTTGTGCTGAGAGAGTCACATCAGTGTTGTATGCCATCTGGTTTGTCCAATGGTCCACTCGTTTCTTCCTTAGGAATTAGGAAATGGAGCCATTCTAATTATAAAACGTGATTAATTGCTTGGTGAATTGGTATCATGTCTGACACATGGTAGGCATTCCACAAATACTTAATGAAGGCATGAATGCAAGCAAACCTATGAATTACAATTATGTGCCAATTGGAAGGAAATCAGGAAAAATAATAGATCGTATATATTGAGCATTTACTTTGCATTCATTTTCTCTGTTAACATCATCCCTAATTATTTGCAAGATACTAATATGACTCATTTTATAGATAAAAACTGGGACAGGGAAATTAGTGAATTTTACCACAGTCCCTTACCTATTAGTGATAGGGTCAGGATTTGATCAAGGTATTTTTGCCTCAACAGGCTAAGCTCTTTTATATGTAGTGGGTCCATTTTTACCATATTTTTTTCAAAAAAAAAAAAACCTGATCATTTTGTACAATATCTGCGTTAAGCTAGTCATCATTGAGTAATTTGCCCCAGGACTGCCCTTATACCATCAGGCATATTTTGAAATCCCAAAATATACCAGAAAGAATAATAACCAATTAAATTTATGTCACATGAAATAAACATCTTTATTCTGGCCTCACTGTGTATCAAGTATAACTTCTAACACTGTAAACAATTAAGGTTCACAAATAGACTATTTTATGTTAGCGAGGAAGATAAGGGGTGGAGTTACTTCTGAAACTGACTATACTTTTTCTAGCAGCAGAGGAAAGAAAAAGTCAATTTGGTTAGGTCAAAAGCAAAGCACGAAAACCGCAGGTGACAATCACTTAAGCAGAGTTAAATGTCACTGAGTCAAAATACTTTCATCTCAAATGTAAACCCTAATAGTTCTTCCCACAACAGGCATGTCGAGAGAATTGTAAGAAAGTACAGATGTTTTTCTATCTGTAGTCTCCCATGCTGACTGAGTAGCTTCCATTTGTTATGTCAAGTTAGTGTCTGTTCTCCTGGGTTTAGAAGTTACATACCAAATATTTGTTCTAAGGATTTAAATAGTCAAGGATGTATTTTTCAAATAAAATATATTTAACATATGTAAACTTAGGACAATTGTGACGGAAGAGACAATTTTGAAAATTTCCTGCATTTGGAAATTGAAAATTTAAAGATAGAACTTTTCCTGTTGATTAGGGCACACGGCAGAAATTTGATTTTTGAAAAACTTTTCAACTGAAACACGTCTTATTTAAAACTCCTAAAGTCACAGTTGGTTGCGAATTTTCATTTAACTGACTTTTCCCCACCAGCTTCTGTGCATTTGCTCTGAGGCACTCTCAGGATGTTTGGTATTAACACTGCAGAGCTTCCATTCTGATTTAATTTCCAAAAACTATCCCAGCGAAGAGGGCTTTTATGGAAGGCAATTCAATGAAGCAGGGATACAGTGGCAAGTGGTAAACTGAGAATTTTGAAATTATTTATTCGTAACTTCCTTTCCCATTACAGTCATTCTTTCATGAGAACATATCTCTGGGATCATTTATTTACCATTGTATTATTAAAGTCTAAAATATAGCCTGGCACAAAGTAACTCAATAAACGTTTGTGGAGTATATTTTTCTGTGTCTCATATTTTCAATATAGATTTTTTTTTACCCCCTCCGAGACGGAGTCTTGCTCTGTTTCCCAGGCTGGAGTACAGTGGCGTGATCTCGGCTCACCGTCATCTCTGCCTCCCGGGTTCAAGCAATTCTCCTGCCTCAGCCTCCCGAGTAGGTGGGATTACAGGCATGCACCACCATACCCGGCTGATTTTTGTATTTTTAATAGAGACGGGGTTTCACCATCTTGGCCAGGCTGGTCTCTGAACTCCTGACCTCAGGTGATCCGCCCACCTCAGCCTCCCAAAGTGCTCGGATTACAGGCATGAGCCACCATGCCCAGCCATAGTTTTTACAATCACTATCATTACTTCCAGCTACCATTATTTACTGGATTGGCTGCATGATAAGTTCCATTTGTATTGGTAGGTTTAGGATTTATTGATTAACAGAACGCTCAAATAGTTTTCAGTGTATCAGTCTTCTAAAAGCATCTGATTTTCCTTTTTTCCCTGTTATGCTCTAGGCAAGCATTATGCATTTTGAGCCACTGTTTTTTTCTTTTTTAATTTTTTGTTTGTTTGTTTTTTGAGATGGAGTCTCACTCTCTCACCCAGGGTGGAGTGCAGTGGCCCGATCTCAGCTTGCTGCAACCTCCTCCTCCCTGGTTCAAGCGATTCTCTAACCTCAGCCTCCCGAATAGCTGGGATCACCTGGGATTAGAGGCGTGTATCACCATGCCCAGCTAATTTTTACATTTTTTTTTTATTATTATACTTTAAGTTTTAGGGTACATGTGCACAACGTGCAGGTTTGTTACATATGTATACATGTGCCATGTTGGTGTGCTGCACCCATTAACTCGTCATTTCGCATTAGGTATATCTCCTAATGCTATCCCTCCCCCCTCCCCACTCCCCCCACCCCACAACAGGCCCCGGTGTGTGATGTTCCCCTTCCTGTGTCCAAGTGTTCTCTTTTTTCAGTTCCCACCTCTGAGTGAGAACATGCAGTGTTTGGTTTTTTGTCCTTGTGATAGTTTGCTGAGAATGATGGTTTCCAGCTTCATCCATGTCCCTACAAAGGACATGAACTCATCCTTTTTTATGACTGCATAGTATTCCATGGTGCATATATGCCACATTTTCTTAATCCAGTCTATCATTGTTGGACATTTGGGTTGGTTCCAAGTCTTTGCTATTGTGAATAGTGCTGCAGTAAACATACGTGTGCATGTGTCTTTATAGCAGCATGATTTATAGTCCTTTGGGTATATACCCAGTAATGGGATGGCTGGCTCAAATGGTATTTCTAGTTCTAGATCCCTGAGACATTTATTCAGCCAAAAAACACATGAAAAAATGCTCATCATCACTGGCCATCAGAGAAATGCAAATCAAAACCACAATGAGATACCATCTCACACCAGTTAGAATGGCGATCATTAAAAAGTCAGGAAACAACAGGTGCCGGAGAGGATGTGGAGAAATTTTTATATTTTTAGTTGAGACGGCTTTTCACCGTGTTGGCCAGGCTGGTGTCAAATTCCTAACCTCAGGCGATGCACCTGCCTCGTCCTCCCGAAGTGCTGGGATTACAGGCATGAGCTAAAGCGCCCAGCCTGAGCCACTGTTTTCTACTTGTAACAAGATGATGGTGATAGTTTTCTGCTAGTTACACCATAAGCATGTTGAAAAGCGTAATGGAAAGTGCAAAAGATAAAATTGTTTTGTGTTTCTCCTGGATAAATATAGGCCATTACTTTTTATCGTTATTAATTTTATGATGAAATTCAATCATCTTCATCAACGCAAATTATTTCCATTATGACATTTTACCGTCCTTTAATGAGAAGCATTGTTACTAAATGGTAAAAGCAACTGCTTGTATCAGTGAATGAAGTGCTAAAAATGGATTAATTAAGGAGTACTTAATTTAGCTAAGGCAGAACATATCTTGCAGAATGTTAAAAAATTTAACATGGGAGGAGTTGTGCAAATTTTAATTAAAATGTTGTATATCTATTGTATATAGTGACTTGTAAGTAGAGAATACATGTATGTACAATGCAGTCAGTGCTGAATGCCAAATACAAAATATTAAAAATAACAATATCATGCTTTAATGAATTAGTCCATTGCCATGATATGGTCTACAACTTAGAAACTCCAGCATTTAGATATCAGATGATATTATAACATAAATCTCTTCGTATGCAAGCCTCAAAAAATAATCCACTTTACTTCCAGCACTTTGTCCTTTTAGAATATCACATCAATGAATTAGGTTATTGTTTACAACCATAGGTTTTGGTTGTGCCAACATATAGGCCTTTCTGTTTTCATATTTTGAGCATTCTGGCTATGGCTAGTTTATGACCAGAAGTGCCTTCTTTCCAGTTTCTCTATTCCTTTTCTTCTCAGTGAATTTATTTATTTTTGTTTCCTAATACAAACCCTGTGGGGAGGTTGATGCTCATCATGGTTTCTAAATGACATCCTCTCACAGTTTTTGTTGTTTAATAAAACTCTTAAAAGACTGACCAACTAAAGCTTTGTGAGTGCACATTTATACCTGCTATCTTTGAAATCTTGCTTGTTTTCAATTACACATGCTATGCATTATAATTCTGTATTTCCATTCCTGCCTGTCCCTTGGCAGAAACTTGGCCTGAAATTTAGACAGTAGAGCCTCTTCTTTAGATTTCCCAGCGGTGTTTGAAGGTTACACCCAGCGACTGGCTAATCGGACTTCCCTGAGGTTGACTGCCCAAGATTAGTTTTGTTGAAGGCACTGCTTTCATCTTACTTACTCACATTGACTTTCTTGGGGTGAGGGCATGTTGAAAGCAAACTTTGTGCGATACTTGGTCTTCAAATACACTGAGATAGTATCTGAGAGAATGAGGTTAAGGTACCATGGCAGTGTAGTGCAATGACTGGTTTCTAATCTGATTTTGACTAGCCTTTGAATTTGCCTTCAGACCGCCATGAGGTTCAACTTCTTTATTCGAAAAATGATCAAATTTCGCTAAATGATTTATTTGTTCCATAGTATCCTCAAATATGAAACACTCATCAGAAACGGTGTTATTGTTCATAAAGTAAAATCTCTAGCAGTATTGTGAGTTCTCACTATTTTCATTCTGAGACGGCTTCAAAGATTGGATAAGCAATTATTAAAATCTGGTGTCCGTGAGCATTTTATGTAGTAGAGTCTTGGTGTAAAATTACGTTCATGTAATTGTTAAGTTCTTACTTTGGGGATTCAGCCACTGCTCTCATTTCATAAAATCTTAATGTCGTGTAATAAGAAGTATAAATTACATCCCATCATTTTCATACTCCTCAAATACTTTATAGTACTCATTATCATACCATTGCCTTTAGTCACTGTCTTACATAATTCTCATCAATTTCTATGACTTTAACTGTCCTCTGTATTGAGTTTCTTAACAAATACTTAGGTGATCACAGAGTGCCAGGAATTGGCCTTAGTGCAGTCATCATAAATGAGGATTACCCCGAAGTCCATAACATTTATTTTGATTTCCCATAAAAAGTAATGTTTATAATTATGGGGTGGCTCATCTGCTATATACTCATAATCTAACATAGTCTAAGTATATTCTATAGCACATGACAATCACTTAGCACATATGGAATAAGTGATAAATGCTTTTTCCTTCTAAGTAAATTCTTCTGGCTTCCTGTTAATAGTATACAAATGGTCTCCTACAACTAGGTTTGTTTTTGTGTTAATGATAGAAACAGCAAAAATATGACAAAAATGACAAAAAAATGCAACATAGTAATGGTATTAAGGTTCAACAAACTTTACAGTTTTACTAAACATTGGATTTGGGCTTCATAACATCTTAAATAAGAGGGAATGCTCCTGGTCAACCACAGTCTCTGAAAGGAGCGTATTCTTAGGTTTTGCGGGGGGAGTCAGAAGTCCAGCAATCTAAGAACATTTCAGATTGGGAATAGGATGATGATAGCTTTAGAAGCGTGGTAACTCAGGTGAGACCATTGTTAATTAGTTTGAGAATTATCTTCATTGAAGTGAATCCACTCTGGCAAAGTTTCAGAAGGGAGTGTTTGCTGCTGGTTGGCTGGGGGAAGCATGATAAGAATCATGGAGGAACTAATTGTTAAATGAATAAATAGGGTAGATTGAAACTTTTGTTGGTGTCTACTTGTTACCATGGCTGCAGAACAATCAGTGTCCTCTTTCGTCCTCTTCCTCCTTTGTTTTATTGTCAGTTTATTAATCTTTATATCCTAAGGCTGTAGCACATAACTTTGTATATAGGCATTTCCAAAGACTGTGGAGTAAATGATTTGAAAATTGAATGAAGTCATTTTTGATCCATCTTAGAATTTTTGTCATTCATTGACTTGTTTTCATTTCCCCCGTACACAGTTGTACCTTAGATCTTGAACACTTTATATCTGGATTATGGTCCTAGCCTCCTATTTCTCTCAAGTTTTCCTCCAGCAATCCATTCTGTACTTAAAGAATTTACTTTAATAAAATTTTGATGGTGTCACCCTCTCATTGAAAAGTATTTACTCTCTAGTCTATTGAATGAAGGCCAGGTTTTCTAGTTTGCTGTTGATGATCCCTCAGTTTTCTATGTACAATCTACCAGTTTCATCTTAGTTTTCACTACTCTACTCTCTCTAAGACACACAAAGCCACTGTTGCCAAGACATCGCTAATGTGTCCCTACCTCTGCATGTTTATTCTACATATTCCCACTGCCCCGAATACTCTTCCCCATTCCCTCATTTCCAGCTATTGAAATCCTATGCATAATTAATTCAGTTTCCTATTTAAAGAGAATTGCCTTATCCTCCAATATTATATGATTTTAAAAATCTGAACATGTTAAACAACTGGTTGTGCCAATTAGAGGAACACATTTTAAATTCTGTTCAGCAATGCAATTACTTTGTACTTCTATTATTTACTTTCTTATTCCAAATTAGAAGCAGAATTCATGAATTTTCTATCTTTCAAATTTCCTGGATAATCCATTAAAATACTTTGAATATAATAGATTTCTTGAAAATGTATGTTGATGAAATTCAAAATATTTTAGAAGACCTAAATTCCTTTCTTCAAAAATTACTTATTTCTACCTACTGGCAGTTTTGAATTCCACATAATCTCAGAAGTGGGATAGTAATAGTTTGGGGCAAAATGGCAATAGTTTGGTTAAATAAGTGCATATTTATTGTAATGACTGATATTTATGAACAGCTGCATTTAGTCCACATGTTTTATGTAAATGAAATTTATTACAATGTTTGAAATTTTTTGGGGGGCAATAAAAATAATGCTTGGCCAATTTTTCACCATTTTTTACTTTTTATAATGGCATATATTTGAGACCAAACATACATGCATGTGTCTATGTATAACACAGCAGTGAATAGGCACAGGCTCAACCCTTTTTGTTTTCTCACATCATGGTTTTATTTAATATACTAAAAATGAAAGAGCTCTAAGTTATGCTAATCACAGGTACAGCTGACTAGTTACTAGTGAGAAGGAAGAACATTTTCTAGAATTTCAAGATACGGTGAAGTATAGTATCTACTATATAAGAAACAATTGGTCAAATATTTTGAAAAACAATTATCAAATGAATTGGAGATTTCTAGGCTTCAGAATTCCAAAGCTAAGTTTGTAAGATTATTAAGGAAGGCAGTGTTCATGCACAAAATATTATTTAGTTCTTCTTTAAAAAGTACTTGCAAAAATTACTTTGACCATCTGTTGATTAATAATTAAAGTGTAATAAGTTGAGCCATATGTGTTGTATAACTTTGTACCTTTCAGCCTTGTGCATTGAAATGTCTAATATCATTTGAATAAATGAATAAAACAATAAAACGGGAGATGATGTAACAGTCTGCTTATAAGTAATGTTTTTGGCCCTTATTCAAAATGTAGCAGACTAGCAGTTTCAGCATCACTTGGGAGACTATTGCAAATGCAGAGCTCCAGGCTCTACCCCGATCTATTGAATCAGATTCTGTAGTTTTAAAAGATCCCCAGGTGATTCATATGTACATTAAGAATTGAGAAGCACTGTATTGTTCTACGGATAGAAGTAGACCAAGGAACATTAATTTTTTCGTCTCTTGTAACTCTTTTTAAAAATACTTTAAAAATAGCTGTTCTGATTAATCATGGTTCTGATACTTGCAAAAGAATTGATGAAGTCACTTGTTCAACCTGCTTTTGTGCTAACGGACTTGAGACTTTACTCTTGGCTTTTTCACTTATAATCAGAACACCTGATCAGAATATACATACTGAATACAGATATCTTAATAGTAGTTAAGCTAAGATAAATTGTATGGCAAGGAAAATACATTGCCACATTACCTTGACCTCCTGCCAGGATTTATGTTTATCTTTTATCTTTGATTTTTATATTCATTAATGATTAAAAAACTAAAATTGCATACATTTATCATGTACAACACGATGTTTTGAAATATGTATACGTTCTGGAATGGCTACATTGAACTAATTAATACATGTTTTACTTCATATGCTTAGCATGTTTCATGGTGAGTATACTTAATATCTACTCTCGCAGCAATTTTTAGGAATACAATACATTGTTATAAACTAGGTTGTACAATAGATCTCCTGAACTTATTTTTCCTATCTAACTGAAATTTTGTGTCCTTTGACCAACATCTTCCCAACCCCTGCCCCACAGCCCCTGGTAAACACCATTCTACTCTCTACTTCTATGAATTCAACTTTTTAGATTCCATGTGTTAGTGAGATCATGTGGTACTTATCTTTCTGTGCCTGGCTTATTTCACTTAATATCCTCCAGATTTACACATGCTGTCTCAATGACAAAATTTCCTTCTTTTTAAAGGATGAAAAAGGATGACAATGAAATGCTAGCATTTCATAGTCAGAACTTATGTGTTAACATTTCTAGTACTAATGACATACTTCACATAAAGGATTACTTTACATCTTGGTTCACTGGAATGAGTGCAGTAAGTAAATTTTAATGCCAAGTAGCAAATGAATCTTTTGAAGGAGCTGCCACTTTATATGTGTTATTACAAAGTATTATTGACTTTAAATGCTGCGTTTCATTCACTTTCTGGATGTGGCAAAGGATATGAAGTCAGATCAACTTAATGTGCGGGACTTTTACATTTGTCTCTAATGTCTGAGAAGGAAAGTGATATTCTACTTTATCCCATGCACCACAATGTAAACAAATATTTTTAACATACACGGAATAGTAAAAATCATTATATGGTATTTTTCTGTTTAATTTATATTGTGGATACATGACTCATTTCAGCAGAGACTTATTTAGCTCTCTGCATACTTTAATATCAGCAACATTCAGTTAAAAGGTATCAGGTTTCTTTACTGAGAACCAAAGCGGTAAACCATTTTGTGTATTTGTTTAATTACCAGTGCACCATTTGAATTGACATGTTAATATAACTTTCCATTGGAGGGAAAATGTAATCTTTTATTTTTGTTTCTTATCTAATGAAAGCTACTCTGTTAGATGGGCTAGTTTGGCAATTTGACTTAGGAAAAAGTAATATGGAATGAAGTTTTTATATGAACAAGGAAAATAAATTAACTTTACTGCTCATCTCATTGGTCTGCCAAATTGGAAAGACATTTTAGGCCTCATTCTCATGTTCTAATTAGTCTCTGGAGGACATTCATGGACAATTCACTGTTCATTAATCTATCGTCTTCCTTTAACTTTGATTTGTTCATTATCCTTTTAGAGTCTCAAATATAGAAACCAAAAATTGATGTGTAGTGTTAATGTGCTTACAGATGTTGATACCACCTATCCAGATAAGAAGTCCATCTTAATGTACATCACATCACTCTTCCAAGTTTTGCCTCAACAAGTGAGCATTGAAGCCATCCAGGAAGTGGAAATGTTGCCAAGGCCACCTAAAGTGACTAAAGAAGAACATTTTCAGTTACATCATCAAATGCACTATTCTCAACAGGTAAAGTGTGTAAAGGACAGCTACTATTCAAGATGTTTTCTGTTTTATATGCATTTTTAGGTATTACGTGCACATATATATATAACTTATATGTATATACACGTGTATATATACAAAGCCTAATGTATGTATATGTACAAAAAGAGACAGACTAAACCTTTTCAATTTTGCTTCATTGACTACAATATTCATTTCAAAACATATTTTAAAAATACTATTCATATGTACCATATCATAGGAATATAGAACATAATATATTAAATTTCCATTGTGTAACACACAATGAAATGAAAGGCAAACTTACGTACATATTAAACTCTAAAATCTTCATCAACTAGAACAAAGAGCTAGAGAAAGATTAAAGGCAAATACAGTTTTTAATCATTAAAAAATACTTTATGACAATATGATGTACAAAGTCAGATTTTGATTATTCAGGATAACAATTTTGAAAATAGAAAAGTGTTTTAAACTATTTCAAATAAACAATAAAGAAAAACATGATGAAATTCTTCGTTACATAATTGTATAGAATTTAGTGGGGTTCTTCCATGACATTGGCTTGTTCTTTCTCTCAACAGTGGGTGGTTTGGATGTTTTCCTATGCTTTCTCAGGCACAAACAACAGTGAAGAAACCTTTAGCAACATTTCTGCTGAATGTGTGGAGAGCTCTTAGGCCAAACTCTCTCACTTTGCTGAGCTAGCTCTGTATTAGCTTATGAAATTTTTAGTCCTTTCCAGGGTATGGACCTGATGAATTCTGTTTTTATTTACTTTGGATTTAGAGAAAATTGCTTATGGATGCCTGTTTTTGCCGGATTGAAGAGTACCATCCCATATAAATGTTGGAGTTGTGTTACTTTGGAATCCTCATGGCTAAATAGCATGCTCATATCTTCCCAGATCATTTACTCTCCAACATGATATTAAGTGCCTTCATTCTGGGAGTATACCAATTTCGAATATCATTTATATATGTTTAGTATTAAACATTGAATCTCACCATTTCCATTTAATGTTCTGTTTTCTACCATGTTGGAAAGTAGTCCTTTCGGGTTACTTATGGTTTTTCCCCCTCCTCTCTATCCACTCCCCCAAACCCTTCTCTGCAGATCACGGTCAGTCTAGCACAGGGATATGAGAGAACTTCTTCCCCTAAGCCTCGATTCAAGAGCTATGCCTACACACAGGCTGCTTATGTCACCACCTCTGACCCTACACGGAGCCCATTTCCTTCACAGGTCTGTCAACATTTACTCTCTGTTGTACAAACCAGAGAACTGCTTCCAAGATAATCTAACACTGCTTTTACTTGCTTGAATTTTTCAGTGCCTTTTATCTCCTCGTGAAGAGCTGGTTTGTTTTTCCAAGTTTTATTGATTCCCTCATGTGATTCTGCTTTGTTATTGAGTCTTCTCTAGGTTTACTATACGTTGATTCTTCATAAATATGAATTCCCGTAATGGTTTCTACTTTCATTATGTAATAACCTCTAAGGTTCTCTTTGACAAAGGCTGCTAATGGTTATAAAAAACATGAGGCTCATGAAAAGTTTTATATATGTAACTTCGAAAAGTGTAGGTACATCTGTGAAAATTGCTAATTACACTATTTGGGGAGATTTTTCTGGATCTACGTAAAGGAAATACATACATTCTAAGTGAATTATTTTATCTATTCATTCTAAAATATATATTCTATGTAAGAAAAATATAACTGCAAGCTTCTTCATATGCTCTCCTTTAATTTTGCTAATTTAAACTTGTGTATAGCAGGCTCTGTAGTATTTATAAGAAAAAGTCACACTGAAACCAGGTCATATTCTCGGCAATGTTTAGTACTTTCTATATGAGGAAGACTCAGTGGAGTTTTCCACCCTTTCAATATTGTATGGAACCCAATATACAAGAAATAGCCTTATAAATGTTACAGCGTGGGAATGAAATGTGCTAGGATTGCTAGATTTGCAAGAATTACTTTTTAACAAAAATGATTTATTTTGCTCAATGGAGCCAATTCGAAACGTGCTAGAGGATGTGATTTTTATCAAAACTACACTATGAATGGGAGTTTAAAAATGATAGACCTGATCCTATCGGCTAAAAAATGTGTACATTTTTGGAGACTCAATTTTTTGTTAAGATAGTGGTGTGCATTTAATTAGTAATTTATTTGGCAGTTAATCGATGCATTAGCTGAAAATTCTAAGCTTTGAAATAGTTATGACCTCCATCCTTGGCTAGTTTACTTGCAAAGCTCTCTTCTCACTCTCTCTCATTCTGGACCTCTTGACTCTCCATCGACTCTCTAGACTCAATTTATCACCATTCCCTCCGTTGAAATCACCAAGACTTAAGGAATAAGTGCCACCTCCTAAGATTAAGGAGCATACACCAAGCAAAGATATAGGGGTTTTTTTCCCCCTCTCATTATCACTTTATTGAGCTGCCTTTTCTAGGTTTTCTCCAATGCCTATTCTGGTAGCACATTTTCACCTCATCACCACCTTCATTAAGGCATCGCTCAGGTATGACTCCTTAATGAAGTAATTACAAATGGACTTACATCTTGCTAGGCTCTGCTCATTCTACCTTTGTGTAAATATTACCAAATACATAATATGTCATAAATCACAGATAATTCAACAAATTCACTTACTTGTTTTATTTAAAATAAGCCATTCAAATAAATGTAATGTTTATCATTTAAAAAAGACACAGCACAAATCACAAGAGATGGGGGATGGGGAATGATATATTCTGTCACTAAAGGAAGCATATCAGAAGATGATGTTACATGTAGTTAGGTTTGATAAGTGTATGCCTTAATTATTCACACTAAGAACATTTATTTCAAAAGTGTCAAAAGGACTGAGCTTTCACTGCCCCTACAGGCTGTACCTGCTCTACTTCAAAGGAACTCAAGACAGGCTGGATCTGATTCCATCAGAAAGCTTTATTAAAGTGTTTACTTGCTGGTCTACAGAGAAAAATAACGTTCTCTATAAGAGGAGAGAGCCATGTGGGTGACTGTCCCCTATGGAAAACACGTGCATGCCCTCACTCCCCAGACACATCACTCTGCTTTAACTTCATTTATTTATTCAACAAATAAGTATTCTTAATCACAGAGACAAATGGCTTTTATTCAGCTCTCCTAACTTTCTACCACTGATGAAACATTTTTCTCAGCCTCTACACTCAGCGGGTTCTTCCTCTCTGACTATTCTGTGTCTTTCATTACCTGGCTCTTTCTGTTCTTCCAACTTCTTTAGCTTATGAAACTCATGGGAAATATCTTGGCATTCTTATCTCTGTACTTGTTCTTTTATCAACATAATTTAATAATAATTTAATAACCTGGCTTCAATCTGTATTCAATCTGTATGCAAATGATCATTGTATCTCTGTCTTCACCACTTCCAATCTTACTTGAGTTATAGCCACATTTCCAATTAATTTTCAACTCTTTGTATGTATCTATACCTTGATATCCACTAATATCTCAAACCTAGTATGTCTCCAAGTGAAGTTTATTATGAAGTTTCTTGTCCATTTTTTAATGTTATTCAGAGCCCTAATAATACAATTTTTTTCGCTTAATTTTGTCCATATAACAAGGCTACTCTCCTAAACTGCCTCGAAAAGATTTATGATATATTAATATTTTATATTTTTATGCTCATTACACACGTATTTCATGTTCCTTCAACCAAATTACATCACTCGTTCTCCCACACAGGTGCCCCAAAATTTTCCATATTAGCTTTTATGCTTCCCTTAGCTCAGAGTGCTTTTGTCTCTGTTTTAAATTGGCCAACTTAATTTGTATTTCTAGGCCTAATTAGTAAGTGGCAGAACCTGAATTCAAATTTGCATTTATTCAACTCCATGCCCATGCTCATTATAGTAGGGTGACGCTGCACTTTCTCGACGGTGATTCTTATATATTGCGTTACGCACACATAGAGCAGTATTCATACATTTGATTATTTAGCGCTTGTGTTTGAATCACCTATTATGTGCCAGGTACTGTTATTGAAGCAAGTGACACATAAACATGCAAAACAATCTGTGTCTGAAAGTATTCTAATTTTATTATCCTCCTGCTGTCTTCCCTCATGCCATACGTTTTTAACTCATTTAATAAATGGTAAGGCCGGGCGTGGTGGCTCATGCCTGTACTCCCAGTACTTTGGGAGGCCAAGGTGGGTGGATCACCTGAGGTCAGAGTTCGAGACCAACCGAACCAACATGGTAAAACCCCATCTCTACTAAAAATACAAAATTAGCTGGGTGTGGTGGCGCACACCTGTAATCCCAGCTACTCGGGAGGCTGAGGCAGGAGAATCACTTGAACCCGGGAGGTGGAGGTTGCAGTGAGTTGAAATCATGCCATTGCACTACAGCATGGGCAACAAGAGTGAAACTCTGTCTCAAAAATACATAAATAAAAAAAATAAATGGTATGATATGAGCCTTTTAATTTTATCTGTGAGCTTTTCTGTTTCATGATCCTCTAGCATAGCATATCTGGTAGCAGAATTGGAGGCCAATATTTCATCAAAGTCATTTCCCTCCTGATGCAGTAGATGTGACTTATGAAATAATTAGAGAAATCAAGGATTACCGTGAGGTTTCTTACTTAAGCAACTGGCCAAATAGAGTTGCCACAAACCAAGATGGGTGAGACTGTAGAAGGAACAGGTTTGGGAGTGAACGTTAGGATTTCAGTTTTAAACATATTAATCTTGAGGTGCCTATGAGGCTATGAATGCATGTAAAGAAGGGGTTCTAAGATCAGAGTTGAGGATAATAATTTAGAAGTCAACACATAGATGTTATTTAAATCCATCGGCCAGGATAAGATTGCCAAGGAAAAATGTGTAGACAGATGAGATCTCTAGATGTATATATGATGAGGCATCAGCAAAGGGGCTGAAAAAGGTGGCTAGAAAGGGGAGAGAAAAAGGAGAAGATAGATGTGGCATTCTGGAATCCAGAAGAAAGTGTTTTCAGAGAAAGGAAGATACCTAACTACATTAAATATTGCTGATGAGTTCAAATAACATGATGATTGAAAATTATTCAGTGAATTTAGGAAAACAGTAGGGTACGATGTCTGGGAAATCCTAATATATAGCAGTTACTACAGTGGAATTACTAACACTCCTATTCACTCTTAAAACTTTCCCATTTTGACCGATAAAGTTACATGCTCTCTCTAGTTTATATCCCCTTTAATAAGAACAATTTCAGTGGTGTGTGCATGTGTGTGTATTTGGAGGTGTTGCTGATTAGAGTAGGTTCAAACGACAGTAAAAGTGAAGGCTACCCTCATTGTAACACTTAAAAAAACAAACTACACCGCGAGCTGGGTGTAGTGGCTCATGCCTGTAATCCCGCCTCTTTTGGAGGATGACGCGGGGAGATCACTTGAGGCTAGGAGTTTGAGACCAGCCTGGCCAACATGGCAAAATGCTGTTTCTACTGAAAACACAAAAATTAAGCGAGTGTGGTGGCACACACCTGTAATCCCAGCTACTTGGGAAGCTGAGGCATGAGGATTGCTTGAAGCCAGGAGGTGGAGGTTGCAGTGAGCTGAGATCGGCCACTGCACTCCAGCCTGGGTGACAGGGCAAGACTCGGTCTCAAAACACTACCCTGAATAGTTGATGGCCACAGGGACAAAAACATACTTCTTTTAAATTAACCCATCCTGATAACTAATCATGTGTCTATATGTATTAGTTCGATTTTTGATGCAACAACTACAAACCTAGTGCCCCTAATCAACACATATTCATTATTTTACAGTTCTTTAGTTCAGATGTTTAAAACAGGTCTCATTCAGCTAACATTAACATATCAGCAGGGCTGCCTTCCTTTTGGAGGCTGTAGAGGAGAATCCATTTCCATGCCTTTTCTAGCTTCTAGAGGCTGACCACATTCACTGGCTCATTGCCCCCTTTCAACTTCAAAGCTAACAAGGGCAAATTGAGTCTTTCTCATATGACATCACTCTTACCTATACTCTTCTGCCCCCCTACATCTACTTTTAAGAGCCTTCATTATTACTTACTTGCTATGTGACCTTCAGAGAATTTCTTGAACTCTGGGCCTCAGTTTCCTCATGTGTATTATTGAAACTGTTTCTAACTCATATAGTTATTAGGAGTGTTAAATGAGATTAATTTTATAAAGAACATTGCATGGTATAAGCACATTGTAAGTTCTCAAAACCCGGCAACCAATATGATTACTACTTTAGATACATCAGGGGTTAGATAAGATTTTGTGGTCTGATCTGAGAAAATTTTTATGTTTTTATTAGCACTTTTATGAGAAGAGATAGCCTGGATTCTGATTTATAAACAAACTCACAACCTGTATAGAGTTCGGCAAGTTAATATACCGAGTAAAAGATTCTAAGGAAAAGGATATCCTTTTTTGTTCTGAGGTTGCTGAGGAACAATCTTGGAACCATGCAGAGCAGAACATAGTAATGCCTTTTATAAAGCAGAAAAAGCACTTCTGGGTGATTTTACATCCAGCAATCCTGTGTTGGGAGGGGATGAGGCAGAGGAGATTTTTCACTCTATCTCTGCCTTTGCCCCCTCCTGGCACAACTTGTCCCTCAGACTGTCCACATATTGTAGAAAGTAATTGGCAAACAGAGGATGGGAAGCCAGCCAGGGAGACCACTCCTTAGATTAAAAGTATCACTAATTTGCTTCGAGGAAGCCTTTATACATCCTGATGTGACTGAACAAATTACCCAGAAACAGAATTGTTAGGTTTTAGCTCAACTCTATAAATTGGTACACTGAAGACTTCTGAGTAGAATTTTAAAACTGGAAGGAACCTTGAAGTGAATATATGTGATGATGTTATTTTCAACAGTTACACTCTTATCGTTTAACTTCTTTTGAAATTTACTTTATTGTGTGTAAGAACACTTAACATGGGATTCACCCTCTTAACTGATTTTTAAGTGTAAAATACAGCATTGTTCAGTATAGGTACAAGTTGTACAACAGATCTTGAGAATTTTCTCATCTTTCATAGCTGAACCTTCGTTAATTAGCAGCTTCCCACTTCCTCCTCTCCACAGCCTCTAGCAACTACTATTTCACTCTCTGATTTGATCAGCTTGAGTATTTTACATACCTCTTATAAGTAGAATCATGGAGTGTTTGTCCTTATGTGACTGTCTTATTTCACTTCCCATAATGTCCTTAGGGTTCATCCATGTTGTTAATGTGGCAGGATCTCTTTCTTTTTGAATATTAATAGTAATCTCTTGTATGTATATACCACATTTTCTTTATCCCCTCATCCATCAGTGGACACTGAGGATGTTTCCACATCTTGGCTCTTGTGAATGGTGTTGCAATGAACATGGCATTGCAGGTATCCCTTCAAGATCCTGATTTCAATTCTTTTGGATAAATATCCAAAAGTGAGATTGCTAGATCAAGTGGGAGTTCTGTTTTTAATTTTTGAGGAGCAACTATATTATTTTCCATAATAGCCATGCCATTTTTTACTTCACCAACGGTGTACAATAGTTCCAATTATTCCACATCCTTACTAATCCATTTTTTAATAGTAGGCATCCAACAGGTATAAATGTGATAGCTCATTCTGCTTTTCATTTACATTTCCCTGATAATTCATAATGTTGAACATATTTTCATACACCTGTTGACCATTTGGGTGTCGTCTTTGGAGAAATGTCTGTTCAAGCCTTTAGCCCATTTTTAATTGCGTTTTTAGTTTTTTTTTTTTTGCCAATGAGTTGTAGGAATTCTTTATATATTTTAGAAGATAACCAGTTGTTAATATAATATAAGGTCTTCAGGTCTGATCACAAAATCTTACCTAAGCCCTGATGTATTTAAAATAGTAATCATGATATTGGTTGCTGTCTTTTTGATAACTTAGAATGTAGCTATACCATGAAGTATTCTTTATATAATTCATTTTATTTAACCCTCCTAATAGCTCTGAGTTAGAAATAATTCTCATAATATATATATATGGTTTGTATTTTCCCATTCCATAGATTGCCTTTTCACAGTGTTGATTTGTTCCCTTTTCTAAACAGAAGATTTTTAGTTTTATGTAGTCTTAATTCTATTTTTTTTGCTTTTATTGCTTGTGCTTTTGGAAATAATTGCGAGGATGAATGTCACAAGATTTTTCCAATGTTTTCTTCTAGGAGTTTTATGGATTGAGGTTTTACATTTACATATTTTATCCGTTTGGAGTTGATATTTGCATATGGCATAAGATAAGCACCAATTTCATTATTTTGCACGTGGATATCCAGTTTTTCCAACACCATTTGTTGAAGAGATTATCCTTTCCTCCTTGTGTATGCTTGGCTCTATCGTGGAACATCAGTTAACCCTATATGTGTAGATTTATATCTGGGCTCTATTCTGTTCTATTGGTCTATATGTCTGTCTTCATGACAATACAATTTATTTTTAATTACTGTAGTTTAGTAATATATTTTGAAATCAGGAAGTGTGATACCTCCAATTTTGTACTTCTTTCTCAAGGTTGATTTAGCCATTTGGGATTCTTTGTGGTTCCATATGAATTTCAGAGTTTTTCTCTGTTTCTGTGAAAAATGCCATTGGAATTTTGATAAAGATTATATTAGTTCTGTAGATTTCTTTGAATGTAATGACAATTTTAAGTCCTTCGATCCATGAATGTAGGATGTCTTTCCATTTGATTTTGTCATCTTTAATTTCTTTCATCAATGTTTTATAGTTTTCAGTACATACTCTTTGACCTCTTTAGTTTATTACTGTTTTCTTTTTGGTGCTCTTGTGAATGGAATTTGTCTCCTAGAAACTCAACTAATTTTTGTATGATGATTTTGTATCCTACAACTTTACTGATTTTTAAATTGGTTCTAGTGTTTTTAATGGATTCTAGGGTTTTCTATTCATAAGATTATGTCATCTGCAAATAGGAATAACATTCTTCATTTCTGATTTATATACCTTTACTTTTTTTTTTTTGCCTAATTATTCTAGCAAGGACTTCCAGTATTGCCATCGGTAGAAGTGGCAAGAATGGGCATACTTACCTTGTTCCTCCTGTTCCTGATTTCATAGAAAATCCTTTCAGTTCGCAGTTGTTGTGATATGACCTGCGATCTTTTTATATATGGCTTTTACATTGAAGCAATTTCCTTCTATTCCTAGTTTGTTGAGAGTTTAATGGTTTTTTTTAAATAGTGAAATTGTGTTGAATTTTGCCAAACAAGTTTTCAGCATCTAATGAAATGAACATGTGACTTCTTATTTATTCTGTTAACGTGGTGTATCATACTAATTGATTTTCATGTTGAACCATCCTTGTATCCCAAGGATAAATCTCACTTGGTCATGGTATATGATCCTTTTAATGTGTTGTTAAAATTTGCCAGAATTTTGTTGAGAATTTTGCCTCTATATCTGTCAAGGATATTGAGTTGCAGTTTTCTTGGGATGTCTTTTTCTGGCTTTGGTAATGCTGACCTTATAAAGTGAATTTGGAAGTGCTCCCTCCACTTCAGTTTTTTCAAAGAGTTCGTGAAGCATTGGCATTAATTTTCTTTAAAAAATGTTTGATAGAAATCACTTATGAAGTCACCTCGTCTTTTGCTTTTCTTTGTTGAGAGTTTAAAAATTACTTACTCAATCCCTTACTTGTATTGATCTATTCAGACTTTTCCATTTTTACACAGTTCAGATTTGGTAGGTTTTATGTTTCTAGGAATTTAACCATGTTTTTAGATTACAGTTTCTTGGTGTAAAATTGTTCATAGTGGTCTCTTTATGAAGATTAAAGGAGCGTTATTGTGTTATAGTCCAAAAACCTAGAGGTTTTTAAAAAAATGATTTAGTGTAAGTAACTTAAAAACAAAAAGTTATTTAAGGTAAAGCCCTCATTAAGTATGAAAATTTTATAAGGATAGTATAACCAAAATACATCATTTATTCCACTAGGTGTGTCTGCATTTAGGAAATATGTTAAATGCCTAGCATGTAATTTACATTTATTATTTCTGATCTTCAAAAAAATCTTACAAAGATGTAACTCCACAAATGGAGTTACCTATCAAAATAGGTTAGGAAATTGATGCTTAAAAAAAGCTTTGAATAGTGTGGGAATGTTATTTTTCTTCTTGACATATAAGTGATAATTCTAAATAAGAATAGGAAATTTTCTGTCATCCATGTCCCAAATACATTTCCTGTTTTGTCCTCTGAATTATTCTATTCATGTTTATTTTGATGTAAATAAGAATTTTAATGGTGTTAAACTTTTCGAAGAACATTAAGGAATATTCCATAGCTAAGATATTAAGATGAAAACAGGAGTATAATAGGAATCTAGTCTGTGGGACCTGCATATGCTATTTTCTCTCTATTACTCAGTTTTCTCATCTCTAAAATAAAGATACTTTCAACTTTCCATGGGGTGGCTAAAATAATTAATGCATAGTGTATGTGAGAAAAGCCTCCACTATCACATAGAGTGTTAGAGGGGAAAGACTCCATTCACCTTCTTACACAACAGGCATTCAATAAGTAGTTAAGGGTAAAGAAATATTTACAACAACGTGGATCAACACTCTTCCATTTTGCATTATATTTATAAATGATAATGTAATCTTAAAAATATAAGTCAAAAAATGTAGAATGAAAGTCCATTTTTACATTTGGTAAAGATATTTGGAGTTTCTGGAAGAGATGATATATAATTTTACCAACCATTCTAGAAAATGACTTTTTTGTCTCTTGATACCAGAGATAGGTCCAGAGGTATTGCTGTGGATGTTACAAAAATAGAGTCAATTTTTGCGAACCAAGGATATTTGAATGCTCTCATTTAAGTCATGTTTATTACATTTTATGGGATTTGTCGGTTCCTAGAATTTGAATGAATTATTGGATGGAATTTAGCTAATCTGTGTTCCGGTGTTTAAGCAGGTCAGGGCGGCTTATTTGTAATCATTAATAGTTTGTTTGGATCTCCACATGTAGGCTAGATGCAGTATGCCTTCTTTAGGAAGGGCCTCTTAAGGAATATCTTTTTCAAACATTTATTTTAATACTTTTTTATTTTTATGTTTTATTATTTTTCTTTTACAAATCAAGTCTTTATGGAAGTAAGAATTCGTGTTACAACTGATTGACCTTAGTTGTGTGACTCAGTTATCTCTTGGCATACCTGTGTAATGCTTAGCTCACCTGTGTAATACAGGTGTGCTTACCTTGTTCACCAGTAACTATTGCCATATAGCAAATCAACTCAAAACTTGGGAGCTTATAAAAACAACATTCGTTTTTCTTATTATCTCTTTTGATTCTGGGTCTCAGATGGGTTCAGGGCTTCTCATATAGGTGTAATAAAATAGTAGATGAAGCTGAAGTCATTTTGAAGGCTTCTTCACTAACATGCCTGGTGGCTACTGCTGGAACTTCAGCCAGGGCAGTTGGCTGGAACATGTATATGTGGCCTTATTTAATCTGCAGTCACTCACTAAATGCTGGCTGGATTCCAAGAGTAAGTGACCCAAAGAGTACCAAGCAGAAACTCTATTGCCTTTTGTGACTTAGTCTTGGAAGTCACATAGTATAACTTCTTCCATAGTCAGGGGTCCATCCTAGTCAAGGGGCAGAAACATAAACCCAACTCTTGATGGAGAAGTATCAGTGTTACATCCGAAGAATAACATGTAAGATGAAACATATTGTATCCATCTTAAAAAAATACAATCTGTCAGAACTTACAAGATTCTTCTGAAGAATCCAGGTTAGTTGGGAAATGTGGCTAGCATGGTGCCTAACAGGTGTTCAATAAAGTGCACTCTACTTACTGATGACTGTACTTGTTTTAGGTAAGCTTGTACAGATCTTCAAATATCCAGGCTCCTGATTAAGAAGTTTGAGAATGTCCTTGCACATAAGTGTCACAGAGTAGGAGCCGAAATGGCCACTTAATTGCTTTCTAGCACAAATGAAATTTCAAATCCATTTGGAAATAATTTGTATGTGTAATTTAATACCAAGAATATTAAGTAGACACTGAAACCTCTACACCTTTCATTTTACAGGTGAAGACACTCAAGCTGAGATATGCTAAGTCATGTACCTAAGATTACAGAGCAGAAATATTTGGTCTAGGATCCTGATATCCTGAATTTTGTTAAACATGATGTCTTCTTAAGGATTATAATTATTTTAAGCTAATTCATCACACTGTCACATTTTCTGTAGGGCGATCTCTAGTTTCTACATTCATTAAGTAATTTGATTTTCTTTTTTGCATTAATTTTATTACAATCTATTTTGTTTTCAGAAAATATTTTAATATTTTTAATCTTTTCTCTTTAAATTATTAACCTTATATTTTAATGAAACTATATTCAAAGTGTTGTAACATCATAATTAAGATACATGACAACCATGATTGAAAATGAAAACTTAGATACATTTCTTTCTTTTCTTTTCTTTTCTTTTTTTTTTTTTTTTTTTTTTTGAGATGGAGTTTTTGCTCTGTTGCCCCGGCTGAAGTGCACTGGCACGATCTTGGCTCAATGCAACCTCTGCCTCCTGGGTTCAAGCAACTCTCCTGCCTCAGCCTCCTGAGTAGCTGGTATTACAGGTGCCTGCCACCACACCCAGCTAATTTTTGTATTTTTCAGTAGAGACGAGGTTTCCCCATTTTGGCCAGGCTGGTCTCGAACTCTTGACCTCAGGTGATCCAGCCGCCTTGGCCATCCAAAGTTCTGTGATTACAGATGTGAGCCATTGTGCCCGGCCATACAGATATATTCCTTAAAATGTATAATTAGTGGATACCCATGCCTAATTTTAATCCCTGCTATAGAATTCTGGCAGCACATATCCTTGCATATTGTGGTCTTTATCTACAAATAATATCAGTGAAAAAATGTAATAATGCTTGGTTAATCAACATAAACTTGTTACCAAACTTGTAGATTAACACAGAGCCTCCTATTATGTCATACATGTGTTAAATCCATGTGGGTCTCAAATCTACTAGCAAACTTTTTTGTTTTCACTAAGAGTTTACCCCCTTAAGCATGTCAATGTAAAGAAAAATATTAATTCTTTTGAAGAGATACCTTATTTAGTAATAATTAGAGTGACTTTAAAATCAACACATAATTAACGGTCACATATTTTGTTCATTATAAAGTTTAATAGAAATACAGTCATTTTTTAAATTATGAGAATGCTATCAATTAAATCTTTGGGGAAATAAACTATCTTTGGAAGGATTAATGATGAGTTGATGGTATCGTTATGAAACTCCTCATTTCTAGATCATCTGCATACCAATTCAGCTACATAAAGTCATGTTCCTCTTTTATGTGTAGCAAATCCAGATTTTCAAGCTTAGCATTTTAAATACTTACTTCTATTAGGTAACTTATTTAAAGTGTAATGATGCCAATGATGAGAGGTATGTATAACAATGGGATTACTTCACAATAAAACTTACTTATAGTGAATATTTATGAAAATGTTTATTAGGTGTCTCTGGGAACTCTGGTCAATTTAAAATCTTAGTACATTTTATCTTCATTATAACATGTCCCAAGGAAATTTTTGGCTGAAAGATTAGCATTATAAAAATAGAACTTTAATTAGAAATTTCTATATTGTGTGTCAGATTGCTAAATCCAGTGGCAATTATCTGCTTCCTAAGATATGTAGTCCTCTTTCTGAAACATTCAAATTTACTTTATAATACCTGAAAAAGTCATTTCAAGAAGAAATTTAGATCATTAATGGAATGAGAAATAAGATTAGCCCGTGGATTCTTCTACTTCTACTTTATAATTTAAATTTCAGGTGAGCTAGGTGATTAAAGTCATTTTAACTATTTGGTACCTCAAATAGTTCAGGAACAAGTATGCCGGAAGCACTGTAGTATTACCATTAATTTAATAATTGCTTATTGGCCACTTGATCCTAGAAGCCAGGAATAAATGTGAAATAAAGTTTTTATAAGCTCTTAAAAATCTTAACATTTCTATTGCTTCATAGAGCATGATTATAGTTAATTATTTATGGAGTCAATAAAGGAATTTAGTATGGCAATTCTTGCATCATGTATTGGTTATGATGCTTTTAAGAAAGACTCTAAGGAAAGTTAGAAGTCAAATATAAAGTTGGGAAAATTATTAGTAACATTTATAACATACGAAGGATTGATAGCCCTCATATATAAATAATGCTGATAAATCAATAAGTAAAACTAGAATGCCCCAATAGGAAAATTCATAAAGAACATGAGCCAGAAAATGACAAAAGCGAAAAAGCCCATATATCATTAAGTATGTAAAAAGACATACCATCTACTTAATAAAAAAATATAATATAAACAATCAAATTATTTTTAACTACCAGATAGGCAGATTGAAACAGTGATAATACTGATAATTTTGCAGAACATAAAGAAACAGGAAACATCAAAAGTTGTAAGAGGGCTTATGACAGAATAAATTGATGCTGTCCTTCTGGTGCATAATTTTTTAATCACAAAATTTAAATTTAGGAGTAATAATCTGGTAAATGAAATGATGTAAGACATAGTTAAAACAGGTTTTCAAAGAGGGAAAGTTTAATAAACACTTGAATAGTGATCACCATAGGATTAATAAAACTTAGGGTAAATATTTTTAATGCAATATCATGAAATCTTTAAAATTCATGCTATAGTTATATACTTAATACCATGCTGTAAAGATAGCACTGATACATGGTTAGATTATAAGCAAAGTTTTCAAATAGAGTATATATCTGTGTGTTACGTGTGCATATATATGTGTGTGTGTGGGTATATACATACAGCAATACACATATCTACCAATAATACTAAACACTTACATAGGGAGTATGTTCTATTCGAAGTTATACATATGGGTTGTCTCTAACAGCACTTTATCTCTGTGCCTATTTCCCTAGTCTCATCCTCATAACTAGAACTCTAAATCCATTATGTATACACACTGTGTGTGTGTGTGTGTGTGTGTGTGTGTGTGTGTGTATGTATGTGTGTGTGTGTGTGTTTTGTATGTGCTATAACATTTCACTTTTGCTTCTATGGTGCAATTTTTTTCATTGGAAATTTAACAACTTACTATTTTTACCGTCTTAATTTTTAAACAAATAAGTCATTATTACTCAGTGGCCCTTGAAATATTGAGGCAATATGTCTCAAAAACTTCTTGTTAGGTGAATGGTTACATTCACTCCTTCTTTCTTTCTTTTTTTTTTTATTATACTTTTAGGGTACATGTGCACAATGTGCAGGTTAGTTACATATGTATACATGTGCCATGTTGGTGTGCTGCACCCATTAACTCATCATTTAACATTAGGTATATCTCCTAATGCTATCCCTTCCCCCTCCCCCCACCCCACTACGGGACCCAGTGTGTGATGTTCCCCTTCCTGTGTCCATGTGTTCTCATTGTTCGATTCCCACCTATGAGTGAGAACATGCGGTGTTTGGTTTTTTGTCCTTGCGATAGTTTGCTGAGAATGATGGTTTCCAGCTTCATCCATGTCCCTACAAAGGACATGAACTCATCCTTTTTTATGGCTGCATAGTATTCCATGGTGTATATGTGGCACATTTTCTTAATCCAGTCTATCATTGTTGGACATTTGGGTTGATTCCAAGTCTTTGCTATTGTGAGTAGTGCCACAATAAGCATACGTGTACATGTATCTTTATAGCAGCATGATTTATAATCCTTTGGGTATATACCCAGTAATGTGATGGCTGGGTCAAGTGGTATTTCTAGTTCTAGATCCCTGAGGAATCGCCACTCCTTCTTTCAATAGAAAATTATTGAGTAATTAGTATGTCCTAGAAACTACCATAAAGCTCTTTACCATGATAACCCAATTGTGGTTTGGAGATTTACTAATGTATCACAATATGCAGGTTAAAGACTGCTGTTAGAATGTGTTACTAGTCACTTAATGTTTATTAAGTGCCATCTAAACCAGTCATTCTAGATCTGGTTATTAAATTTCACTATGTTATAATAACTTTTTCATTCCAATGTGCACTGTGAATCAGCAAGGGAACGCTATTCATTGTGGTCATTTGGAAACCCAGCCTGATGAAACAGCTACTATCTAGGATACTCCCAGTCACTCCGCAAAGGGAAAGAAAATTCTGAAAGGTCTTGTGCTGGCAATTAATTGCTTGAACTGGAAGTGACATATCTGCTTCAGTTCACAACTCACGAGCACAACTAGTTACATGGTCTCACCCAACTTAGAACTAAGAAATATATTCGTATTACATGTCTCAAAGGTAGAAAGCTGGAAATAAATATGAATGGTGTTAATAACTGCTACACTGCTAAATTTATGTTGTCAGAAACATCTAAGGACAAAATGAACTATGAAATAAAAACATGGCCATGCTCTCAAAATTTGTTTTTTTTGATATGAACTCTTCAAGCATAAAAAATTAAATTCCAAAATTGAAATCATAAACTAAGTTAACTTGCTAAAATTCATGGGGTCAAATATGTGATATTTGAATACTCGCTAATAGAAATGTCTCAAAATGCAATAAAAGGCTTTGGGGGATAGTGAGCCCTCTGTCAGAGTAGTGTTTAAGTATAGACTACCTAATGAGACTGGTTGTAAAAGGCAGTCGGTCACGGGACACATGGCTTATTAATATGTTCACTTACTATGTACTGGAACCATATAGCTGTCTAAGATGAGCTTTCTTCTCCTTTGCAAGCCTTAAATCCATAATTCTAATCGATGGGTCTTGTGGAATAGTGGTAACTATTATGGAATGAGAGACAGTGAACCAAGCATGGGGAACATATATGGCCATATTATTGCCCTTAAGGAATTTACAAACTGAGTAAGTAGAGAAGATGTTGAGAGTAGTTCTAAATCCTGAAATAATTTCACTTTACACTCGGAAGAAAATCCAAAACACCATCGTGATTTGTTCCCTATAGGTATCCTACCTTCTTTCCTACCCTTAACCCCATTTCTCAGCTCCAGATACACTGGCCTACTAGCTTGGCATCAAATACGCCAAGCATACTTTGAGTTCAGTGACTTTACACATGTATCTCCCTCTTCCTGGAAGGGTTTTTCCCCCAGTTATTCATATGGCGCACTTCCTTTACCTTAGACTGCAAAGAGATCTTTTCTGACTACCCTATTTGATATGCCACTACCATTGTTCTGTCTTCTTTCAAAGCTTTAATTTTTTTCCTCATTGTAGTTATCACTACTGACATTACGATATTTGCAGGTCGTTTTTCCCTAATGAGTAAAAACTCCAAGAGGAAAAGGACTAGAATATATACTAGGTACATAAAGCATATTGATCAAATGAATGAAAGCATCACGTTTCTTTTATATGCCCCAGTTTGCGATTGTATTGTATATTCTAAGAGTTGAGTGAACAGCAATACTTAAGGGAGCAGCTGCCCGTGAATCTAATATATTGTTCAGGGTTTTGAAGCAGGTCCTGCAATATAAACCCTGCTGCAGCACAGTTTTACGTCATCTTCCTTCTCTTACTATGAATTATTAATCCCATCAACCTCATCGTAATAGAAGAGTTACGTATAAAAGAATGAGTAATACAAGGTGGGATATGCTACCTTGTATTTCAAACACATGTTTGATTTTTCCAAACTAATTTCAGTGATTGGAGAGATCGTACAAATATGGATATATAAGGCTTATTACTAGCGTGATGAATGGGATCCAAGAATCGGCAGTTTATGCATCCTACAATGGTCCATCGACTCGTACTCAGGAAGATTTCCATAGAGTAAGTTCATCTTGAACAGAGCTTTTTACGAGGCTTAGATAAGAAAAGAATGAAAATACTTTAGGTGGGACATGATTTCAATAAATGGTATTACTAAAGCCATGGAAATAACCCTATGCTTAAGAGATGGACGAAACAGATATTTTGGAATCTTTGCTGCTCTAAGATTCTTTATCGCCTAATAGCAAAAAGATTAGATAAAGAGGAAAACTATCACTTACTGGTCAAAGGTAGAAAATGTATGGAGAAGAAATCAGTGAAAAGTGATGTAAAATATGTAACTAGGAAATAAATAAGGCTAGAGAAGGTACCAGAAGTAGATGAGCAGCTGTGGACTGTTACCCCCACTCCCGTCTCAAATATAAGGGGCGTAGCCTGAGGGTTTTCTGTTCAAAACAACTTTGACTGTGTGTGTGTGTGTATGTGTTTCTGTGTGTGTGTGCTGGGGAGAAAGGTTGGGGTGGGTGGAAGGAGAGTTGATGGGGGGAGAGAGACAGCAAACAATGTTGAGGCTCAAAATGAAATTTCTATTTTTAAGTACATTTTGAAAATATTGGCTTATATAAAGTTTTCACTAATTTTTGAAGTAATATTAAATATATGAGTCTTTTAACAAATATTGGGCATTCATAATTTGAGATGTAATACCTAATTTTGAATGAAATAATTGTTTTTCTCAATAAATTAAAGCATAAGAATTATTGGAGATTTTTCACCATTCCATGAGAGGAAATTTTAGTAGTGTACAAAAGTAGATTAAGATTTATAGACAGCCTTTGGCTTGGAGAAACTTACTCTACTCAGTGCCTGAGGACCAGTTGTGAAGACAGTCTTATTTGTGTTGGACAAAAACGTCAGGCCTTTGAAAAAAACAATATTCAAAGTCAGTATTTTGATTGTATTTGAAGTTCTTAGTGATGTTTCTAAACGTTACGTTAAATATTAGAAAAATATTTTCATGGTCATATGTGTCATGGTCATAATCAATATGATAGCTTAGTTTTTTAAGAGTACAAAAATTTAGGCCAGGCACGGTGGCTCATGCCTGTAATCCCAGCACTCTGGGAGGCCGAAGCAGGCGGATCATGAGTTCAGGAGTTCGAGACCAGCCTGACCAACATGGTGAAGCCCCGTCTCAAGTAAAAATACAAAAATCAGCCAGGTGTGGTGGCACATGCCTGTATTCCCAGCTACTCAGAGGCTGAGGCAGGAGAATCGCTTGAACCCCAGAGGCGGAGGTTGCAGTGAGCCGAGATCGCGCCACTGCACTCCAGCCTGGGTGACAGAGTAAGACTCCGTCTCAAAAAAAAAAAAAAAAAAAAAAAAAAAAAAGTACAAATATTAGAGCGAAACGAACATCAACAATTTAGTGAACGTTTCTTGTGTCAGTTTCAGTCTCAGTATACTGTGAAAAGGGAATGAAAAAAACATGTTTAAAGTGAGTAAAATTGATTGACGTGGTCTTTTTCAGCATGTTTTAAGTGTTTTTCGCTTTGCCAATTAAAACTTCTATTTTATTATTTACCTAAATCTACCCCCCAGTAAACAAAATAGTATTTCCATTTTCATAAAAGGCAGTTCCTTTTCTTTTTCATCACCCCCATCTTTAGAGATCTTTGACTTTCTATTTTTTCTCACTGCCTGACATTAAGATTCCTTCTGTTAAATGTTTTTGAATTACATTTAGTTCATAAGAAATGTTTCCCCTAGACTTTAAGAACTTTCGGACATAAAATTTTTCGCCAATTTTGTTCATTCACTTAACAAGGACAAAAAACCAGAAAGAGTTGGGTGACAATTTCCATTCAGTAAATGTTCTTTACTAAATCTGAATTGCATATTGTGGAATCAGTAAATGTCAAGAACAAGCCAGTCTATCTTTTCACAAAAAAAAAAACCAAAACCTCGTTGTTACTATTTTCTATTGTTTTTCTAGTTTCTATTTTATTTACTTTTGTTCTGATCTTTATTCTTTCCTTCTATTAACTTCCCCTGTGGAATAACTCCAATTATACCATATCATGAAGCAAAACATATAACTGTAGAAATACAAAAGGCTCAACTATAACACTGGACTAAGCATTGGCTGATCTCCCCTAGCATACCTAGCAATATTAATCACTCAGATAATTAGGCACTGTCCTATATTTTTGTAAGATTTATAACTTTAAATTTTTCATTACATATTTTTTTCCAGTGACTTTGAGACTTATCTTACTTTTTAGTGTGTTAGGTTTATCAGTGGTGATTTTATTGTTATACATGACCTCATAATAGTTGTTTTTTCTTTCAGTACATTTGTTTTATGTTTAAATTTTTATATTTACATGATTAACTTATGCAAATTATATGTTTAAAAATCTGTTTTATTGCCAAAGTTGTAAGGAGGGAGTCAAAGTTCCTAGTCATTTATTTATTAGAATTATTCACAGGAGTGACAACGTGCGTAAGTTTATGTTGACCAGTCAAATTTTCTCTTCACAAAGGACAGAATGTGAAAAGCACAGATTCTTTTTTGGTCATGGGGCAGGGAAAGATAATATAACTCTGACTGTGAGAGAATGAGGGAGGAGTAGAGAAGGGATCACATGTTAGTGTTTATTCTTGTTTCGTAGAATGTACTCATATTGGCCTGGACAGTTGCCCTTTGATTTTAGGAGATTAAAATATACTAAGCATGTAGGCACCCACCCATACACACATACACAACACAACACACACACACACACACACACGGACACGCAAACACAGTTGCTAATCAGTCTGACTTTTATCTGTAATTCTGGTTCTGCTACTTACTAAATGTGTGACTTAAGGTATATTACTGCACATTGTGCTCACTTTTGTCTATTTGGATATTTTAGTTGACATTTCACCTTACATAAAAAATGTGTTGAAAATTGTTAGCAAGAAACACCATAGGGCATCATCATCTGCTTTGTGATACATAAAACATTTGTTAAAACTGTTCTTTTCTTCTGTAAGGACACTCAACAGATTTATCAAATAACCATTTTAAGTGTACAATACAGTATTATTAGAGACAACGTTGTGTAGCAGATCTTTAGAATTTATTCATCTTGCATGATGAAAATTTTATGCCCATTAATTAGCATTTCCCCATTTTCTCCTCCTTTCAGCCTCTAAAAGCCACCACTCTAATCTCTGATTCTCTGAGTTTGGCAATTTTAGATACCTGGTGTGAGTAGAATCATGAAGTATTTGTATTTCTGTGTCTAGCTTTTTTCATTTACAATATACCTTCAAGGTTCATCCAACTTGTCACATATTGCAAGTTTTCCTTCTTTTTAAAGACTGAATAAAATTCCATTGTATGTATTTACCACATCTTCTTTATCCATTCAGCTATCGGGCATTTACGTTGTTCCCACATCGTGACTATTTTTAATCGTGCTATAATGAGCACTGGAGTGCTAATAGCTCTTTGAGATCCTGATATTTTGCTCTTTTTTTGATAAAATGGCTTCATAATAGTTATTTCCTCATATCATTATTCTAAAAATTGAGCTGCTAAGTATAAATCTGATCACAAAGTAAACATGTAAATATTATTTTTTAATCACACATGAAGGATTTTTATAGTAACTTTGTGTAAAGGTGGGTATTTTCTTGTAAGTTATTGGAATCTATTAATTTTAAGGGAGCATTCCAAATTTTAAGAGGTAGAAAGAAACAAAATTCCAGTGCCTATGTAGTTTATTTCATTTTAATTTAAATTATGAGATGATTGAATAGTGTTCACATTAGAAGTATAGGAAGATAGTTTAGAGGTCAACTTCTTTGGTCTTGTATTTCTTTTTGTTAATGAAATTAATGTGTGTTCAGTGGAAATATGCACATGTGAATATACTGTTAGTTTCTTTAAATAAATTATATCTCCAAATGATATAATACCATGAAGCCACTACAAAGTTAAGATATAAAAGAGTTTAATTGCATGGCATATTTTTACAATACATTAAATAACTGAAAATGTAGCTAAGACAACATTGTGACTGGTTTTGAAAAAATAAATTATTTGTGTGGTTATACATCTATATATGTACTTAGAACAAAGGTTATATTCAGAATATTTTACACTAGACTCTTTTCAATTAATTTTATAGGAGTTTCATTTCTCTGAATTTTCATTTGTCAGTGAAATTACATATTTTAAAACATGCAAAAATAAATAAAACATGTAATTTAAAAATGTAAAACTCTTTTACATATATTTTTAAATGTCAATAAATGAAAAACTCTTACATATATTTTTCAATTTCAATAAATGAAAATCAGGAAAATAGTGACATGGTCTTCAAAAATCACAATTTAATAGAGAAAACTGAAGATAGGAAATAATATTCTAATTACGGACAATGATTAACACTGGCAGAACTGGTAAATAGTACACTATAAAATAAAATACTACATTAAGATATATAATCAGAGGACATCATACCTCAATACATATGTGTTTGTTTTGTTTTTTAAAGACACGGGCTAACATTACTAATTACTGAAGGATGGAGAATGTTAACTGAGCTTGTAATGATAAGCCGGTGCAGATAAATAAAATGGTATAACAATCATCACAGTTTATAAAACCCTAAGAGTTTGTTAAATGTGCATAATAGCGTCCACAATCCCGCTAACACAATCTCCAAACATTTTTGTGTACACATAGTGTAAAGGATCCAGAATTTCAATCATATTCTCAAAAGAATTCATTGCCCCAAAATGGCAATGAAATTCTGAGAAAAATAGGGTATGGTGAGACTCTGAGGACTTGGAAAGCCAGGCAAAATACTACTTATTTCTATGGTACAGACAGATAAGTCCTTTATGTTATATTATCCATGTTGAAAATCTGGTAGATTGGGAAGCAGGAAAGAGGTTTCATGTTTCAGCTGCAAACTTTGTGTTCGTGGAAAGACAAGAGCAAGTGCTACATAAGTTGAGCCATTCCCAGAACAGGTAGTGAAAGGGCTCTATTGCTTCAACTGAAGAATGTGTTATGCTCTTATGTATAAGAGGGATTCTTCACACCTTATAAAATGTTCATATCCCTTTTACGTGCTTTGTATTATTTATGCCCCAGTGAGCTTACTTGTGAGATAAAAGATGAAATTTTTAACTCTGTCAACTAAAAACAACCTTATATATCTTGAATGAGTTGACCAAAGTAGTATGGTTAGAAACTGATAGGTATGTCACTCAACCCAAGTTTTCCAATTTCTGGGCTCTGAATCATTTTATTAGCCTAAGCTCCTTCCTGAGTGTTGATCTTAGATAATGAACCAGTTACTCTTAGATAATGTCTGTGATGATGAATAATGTCACAAAAATTACTAACTGATATTGGACAATCATTATATAACAAACATTGCTGTAAACACTTTTCATACATTAATTCAATGTTTATAACAACCCTATTGAGAAGATTCTGTTAATATATCCATTTTACACTTGAGAAAATTGATAAGCTGGTTAAGAAATCTGTGCACAGTTATGCACATGAAAAGCAGCTGTGCCAGGATTTGAACACACACACAATCTCATTCCAGAATTGATTCTATTAACCTGTATGCTAAAATGACACAACATAGAGCTTTATGAAGCTATCATTAGAGGAAAGGTTGGGTTTTCATAAACACACTTATGCACACACTTCATGATTTACTAAAAGTGGATGAATATATAAGCAATATAATGACAAATTATAAATCAGGCAACCAGAAAATAAGAAGGTAAAATACAGGCAGGTTTAAAATAAAGGTTACTTTATAAAATGAAAGGTGAAGTTTGGGAACTGGTAATGAGGAAGAATAATTGCTGTGAAATCTATCAACAGATGACTTCATTAATCTTTTTTCCTTGAAAGAGATTCAGATGATATTACCATCTCTTTCAGGAGTGGAAGAGAGAGAATTGGAGAGAAATGTTTTAAAGATTCTGATTTATAGCAAGCCTGTGAAAAAATGGTGCATTAAATTCCCATTTGGCATCCTAGTTGTAGTAAGATAATACATCCTTTCTAAAAATTCCATTTGATGAATAAGCAAACCAATTCAAAATGACTCCATTTTATTGATAATAGCATCAGTGTCATTAATGAGAATGCTTTTTGACTAACAGCAATTAACTAGATTTGGTGAACTGAGCAATTGAACATTGAATTTGAAATCAGAACATTCGGCACTGAAGATGATATAAGTACATATTAGAATGATTGTTGATTATTTAAGGATTTATTAAGTTGATGAAGAACATTAAAGTCTATTATATCCTGTATTATTTAGGATGCTTGGTTTCAAATGTACTCAAGATACAAAGAGAATTTGTTGGCTAAGTAAAGAGTTCAAGGTTTGCTCAAGGGTTTAATACAGAGTTTTATTATGGATTTAAGGAGAAGTCTTTGCTTCTCTGTTAATCTAAGCCTACCCTCCATAACTTTTCGAACTCATACAGACCGGCTTCCCTCAGCAGATCTTGGAAACTCTTTTCCCTTGTTTACAGCTAAATGTAAAGAATATATCTTTACCCAAATAGGAAACAAAAGGTCTGAGTTTCTCTCTGCTTGGAAACTCTTAGATCATATGCCTGGCCTGAACACCTCCCTGAAGCAAAGTACATAGCAGTATCCCACTTGGCTTGCACAAAAACCGAGCGCATATCTAGAACTGAGAGTAATAACAATGCTTTCCAAATCACCAGGCTACTGTGCCATCAGAGAGTAGAAGAAAGGATATTGACTGTATAATTGCAGTGCTTACTACAGTCCTCCTCTTTGAATATCCAACATTGCTATACACCCTTCATAGCATATATTCACTTTCAAAGATGCTCAGACTCCTCAAAAAGAGCAAGTATAAAACATTATCCAGTGATTGCATTCAGCTCCAAGGTTGGGATATCTGGGTGATTAGCAGTCCCTTTCAATTAGTCTTTATGATCCATCCAGTGGACTATGACTAAGTGAAAAAATTTGATGTCCAGTACTGCTAAGTAAAAAGTTAGAAGGGCACATCCTGATTAAAACTAAACTAAATTTATAAAAGAAACCAAATTGAAACAGATATTATATCCTGCACTTTCAGAGCCTTCCTGGTGATTTTTCCTTCTGTTCATTATAAATTTTGCTAAATACTTGTCTTCATCATGATATCTGAAGTTGACATATTTTGGGGTTTTGTGTTACTTTATTATTCTACTTATTGTGTTGTTTAAAAGTCCTGGTGCTTGCCCTAGGTTTGAGTGATAACAAGGTGTTTTTAGTTAGACCTGGGGTTTCTTTGGCAATCAGATTTGTTTACTATTTATAGGCTTTCAGTATTTGTTCTTATCAATTCCATGACCCAGTAACCCAAATTCTATGATTTGGTTTTAGGCTTCAAATGTTAACCTCTTTTGACATCTTTAAGAGGCCTCTGTGCTTTGCACAATCCCCTGACTGAGAAAATTTGCAGCACAGGGTTGGGGTAGAGGGCATAGCCAATCTTTGAGTATATCTTTGAAGTATAGATTACATAGAAGCTGCTTCTTCATGATAGGAGGGATCGTCTACTTTGTCACAAAAGTGCTTTAGGGAAGCACTATAGTTGATTTTTTTTAGTACTTAAGTCTTACATTCTGCCTCTCCTGTCTCTGTTCATACAAACATTCGATTTGGAGTAAAAATACAAATTGGCTTTTCCACTCATATCAGGCTCCAAATTATCAGCCTCTCAAGGCGTTCACGTTATAAGCCACAGGCAGAGAGGGCTTCTTCAGACAAAGCTATATTTTCTTTTTTTTCTGTACTTCAAAAACAAGTAACCATTAGCATGAGGTTTTTTCTTTCTTGGTTTAAAGAGGCCAGTAGGTGGCAACATTTTTGTTTCTATCAAATCTCCTAATAGTGTTGGTACTCGTAAGGCACATGACTTAGGATAAAATAGACCATTGTTTAATCAACTGTTTTTTAATCATGTACCAAGTATCATTTTGAGTTGGGGTGGGGGAGGTTTATCATCCTTGTCTTCTCATAATTCAGCCTGTTCCACATTATAGGATCTATTAACTTTCAACAACCCACTTCCTGATACCAAAGTCCATATAAACTAGAATGATGTTTGGTACAATAATGGAAAACTCTTCTCAAGAAAACTTGAAATATGCAGACACACACACGCACATGCACACACATACACATACACACACATACAGAAAACATCCACATTGGAGCAGTAACATGTGACATCTTTTCTTCCATTAAAGATTTCTTGTAATTAAACCTTGGGAATTATTGGCTTATGTAACAGAAAATTCCAAAGGAATGGCAGGATTCTGGTAAGCCTTTAATCCAAATATTCACATTGTCATCACACTGCAGCTCCGTATCTCAGTGGCTCTTTTGGCTCTTCACTCTTCCGTTATCTATGCCAGGTAGTTATTTCTTTCCCTATACAGTTTTGTTATGATAGATGGCTGCCAGAACTGTAACATTTTTTTCTTTGCTTATGTCAAAGGAAAAATAAGTACTTTTTTTCTCAGTCAAGCAGAACTCTGGACACCTTCTGGTTGGAACATGTTAAGTCATGTTTCCACAGTTAATATACTGTGTTAAAGCATAAAATGTTGTAGTTGGATTTTTGTTCTATGTCCCTGGCAAAAAGGATTTATTTAAAGCAATCAGGACTTATGCATGGGATTGGGGAGGTGATTAATTGCTCCCAAGCCACAAGATTCCTTCATAAGGATGGAATATAGTTTGGAAATTATTTTATGGTAGTATTTGAAAGAGTTCAGTGTTTTCCCATGATTTAATAATATAAATCCTTAATAGAATAAAATATATCATGAATTGCAAGTGTATTTGAAAGTGTGTGTGTGTCTAATTTTATTGGATCCAGAAAATATGCTCTATTTTTTCTTGGAAAATGCTGTGTTTTATATCCACTGCATTTTTTTTATGTTCTGTACATTTCAGTTGGATTTCTTTCAAAGGGACTGCCCTCTATCAATCAAAGTCATCTTTAGCATAGGTTAGGCTATTACTGATGAATCAAATATTTCTAGAGCAATACTTTAGGACCTGTCCCACAACTAATATATTCAAAATTTAGCAAAAGTTTATTGAGTACCTGTTAGAAGCAAAGGACTATGCTAGGTGTTCTCATATACATGAAGATAAATATATGTCATAAAACAATGACAAATTGGCTTTCAGAATGTGCTTATTTCCAATATCATCATATTTTTCTTTTCTGTCATTTTTCATTTTATCATATAAAGACCTTGAGGGGTGTTTTTTCAGAGAAACAATAAACCAATGATGGATGAGCCCACTTGAGTTAGTTACATACTATACAGCTTATATAAAGCATAAGCATATAAAAAGTATATGCATCTACTTTCATAGTTTGGATTGTTATTTAAATTTGGTGGTATTACATTTTCTTCTCACAGATGACTGGTCTTAAATGTGTACTATAGAATTTACAGAAACAAACCATAGGGTTTAATAAGCTGAATAAAATGAAGCTCTTTATCTGGTTAGATTACTTTGTAAAGGACAAGAATAGGGGAGCCTCCCAGGTCAACCTGATGTATGATTTTCCATTTTTCTAAATAAGTTTTATTGACTTTTACATTTTAATGGAAAATGAGTAATTAGCAGAGGTGCAGATTATATTTGGCAGAAAATGATTATAATATTTTTATCAGAGAGTAAAATATATGCAGAAATAGCCAAGTAATCTGATTTGTTAATAATAATAGTATCCTGATTATGGTTTTATCTTTTGTTTTAAAATAACATTTATATAGGGTCAATTTTGAAGATAAATGGGAACCTGGTGAACTCTGTCTCTTTTTCTCAGAGTGTGTGTGTGTATGTACATAAATTTAAAAATCGAAGTTATAGTTAATTGGAATAAGAAGTTTGTTGAAAACAGTTTGATGTCTGGTAATTGAGAAATGTTTATGAATCTGACATAATTTACTAAATAATGGAGAGAGATACATTATTCAGAACATTATATAAGTACCTAGGCCAAATTTCTGAAAGATCCAAGGTGAGAGATATATGTATAATTATCTTGGTGGTAATTTACTCATGAGTAGTATTGACATTGAGATATTAACAATTTGTACCGACCCACTTGTAGCTGAGTATATATTCTTAAATTGTGTTCCAACATAAACTGTCATCTATATTGGTGGATCTTTGCGATGCTTTGGGTTAGGTCATCAAAACCTAAGCAAACCCTGGGGAATGTACTTTATATGTATATTATTCTCCCACTCACACACACACACACATCCTCACTGTTTAGAAGTACACATTTGTCAACATTACAATGCTTTTGGCATTCACAGAATCTGTTCAAATTAGTACAGTGTTCACTACTGCCATAGCAGGAAAAAAACTGTACTTTTGAATCATTTATTTTTAAATCATTTGAAGTAGAAAATTCTGACAGGTTGCACTGATGAATCTTTACTAAAAATAAAGGTCTTTGTTTACAAATAATTACATCTTCTCAACCAGTGGTTTCATGTTGCTTACTTTCTTAAAATTCCAAATAGAACAAGGTTTGCAAAAATCGTCACATATACATGTTATCACTGTTGACTGTTTTATGATAATTTAGGTAGCATTCATTGTACACTTACAATATGGCAGGAGCATGTGGCAGTTACTTGAATGGCAATATTTATGAGGTTTACCACCAATCAAGCTTCCCACTATACAGATTAAGATTAAGACTTACTGAAGGGTCCTTGTGCTAGTAAGAGGCAGAGTAAAATAGACCTAGGCATCTTGAATTCCTAAACCTATGATTTCTAAGTTATGTCTTCTGGCCTTTGTGTTAAAATTTATTTCTAATCAACAGTGATACTTTTAAAATATACATAATAGTGTCATATGTGAAGGTCAAACACTAGTAATTTAATCTGTCAAGTACTTACTGATCATCTAATTTGTGTTAATTACTGGGTGTTACTTGACTTGTCCTCAGGTTCTTTATGCACTAGAGAGGAGACAGACACTCTTACAGCTGCTTTAAGACACAGTAGAGATAGGAAGTATAATAACTTTTCATATAAATCCTCTGGGACCATAAATTATAGCTTCATAAATCTTGGCTTAGCAGGTAGCAGAAGGTATAACTGAATGATGAGCCTTGATAGTCAAGTATGATTTTTATAAGGAGATCATCCCATAGAAATATTACTTCACTTTGTGGAGCTAAATGAGAAAGAAGCACGAATCGTCAGTTCATTTTGTGACTGTTCGTTTCGTGTGTAGGGCATATGGTTAGGGGAGGAGGAGTAGGAGAGGCGGCTGGAAAATGAGGTTGAAGGACACATTGTGGAGGATTTTGCATATCATGCTCAAGGAGATACATTTTATTCAGTAGGCAAGAGAAGGGCATTGGCAGGTTTTGAATAACAAGTCATGTGTTTCAACCCTGGGACTTATGAAGCTGAATGGAGAGGCACTTTGCCTTTAGGAAGGATTGCCAAAAAAAACCAAAAAGGGCCATGCTGAGTTGAAAGTGTCAAGGTTGCCTCCAGAATAAGCTAACTGTATTTGGAAATCAGGGTTTATTATCAACAGATCAGTTAAGACCAGTGATAGAATCGCATTGCAGGGGCTAGGGTGGAGAGAGATAACAGAGTAATCCCAAAAAGTACATGAAATTTCACAGAGAAAAAAAGTACAATCAAATTTGAAGAGGTTCAAGGACAGAATATTTGATTGATTGTTTTGTTGATCGATCTATCTATCTGTAGGGAACTAGAGGTGGGAGACATAGTTAGGTACGATTTAAGAGTTTCCTTAGGAAAGTACCATCACATAACAGATATTTAAAAAGACTTTAAAGAAGGTAGTTATGTTAAACAGTGCTGCAAATGAATTGAGGAGGATGCAGGTAGGGGAAGGGCAACTGGATCTACTGTTTTAGAAGTATACTTGTGTGCTGTGAGAGGGATTTTTAAGTATAAGTGTGGAAAACAAGAAATAATACATAGAATTACGGCTGATTATGGGAAACTGGAAGGAGGAAAGTTTAATCAATTCTGAGGTTCAGTGATGAAAGTAAGGAGGAGATGGGATAGTTCATAGAAGAATGATGTTAATATTTCAGATTGGGAGAGAATTAAGAGTTCTGATAAACTCCTAATTTTGATGATACACTCTGTGGTAGGAATCTACAGTACACCGTAAATTCCTGTGTATAACATACAATGTGCTATATAAAATATGTGGTATCAACCTATAAATGTTGATTTTTCAGGACAAAAATGTCCAGAAAAATGTAATGAACATTCAGCATACAGCTTCGATAAGAAGTTTTAATCCCATTAGTATTTAACTAACATACTCCCATTTTTAGTAAGTGATTATTATTAGTATTGATTCCTACTTAATTCTCTTCAATGCCGTAGTCTCTGTATTTTCCTCCCTTCATTAAAAAAAAAAAATCTTTCAAGTTCAAGTTTTATCAGAGAGCAAGATGGCATAGGGAAGAGAGCAGAGACCATGACATCACTGGAACAGTTTAACATGATTTGATTTTATAAAACATGATAAAATAAGTATCAGGCGGCATTTTGTTTTAAAACACTTGCTGCTGGAATTCCACTATTCATATGATAACCTGCTGATCAGTAGGACTCTGTCTCCTGATGCCAAGTTTTTAGCACCTTCTACAGCAATGTGTGAATAATGCAGAGATGCGAAGGAACCTTTTAAGCCAACTTGAGAAACAAGCCCTGTCAAAAACATGATTTCTCATGACTGAATAATGCAACAGACTATTCCATTTAGAAAAACATCAGTAAATAGTCTGAGTTTTGATAGTGATTACATTCTTACACTTGAGGTAAAAAAAATATTCTTGTCTCAGTCCACAAAGTTGATAGGCATAGGGACATATGAGTGTATACACTGAGGGTGTTTAACAATGAAATGTGATTCAAAAATATAACAAGATTTGATAAGCAAATGGGCCAGCAATTTGAAATGCTTCAAATTATACTTAGGCTCTGAGATGAAATGTATGTCATTTAAGTGTACTTTTTTTTTTTTCCCGAGATGGAGTCTCCCTCTGTCGCCAGGCTGGCATGCAGTGGCACAATCTCGGCTCACTGCAACCTCCGCCTCCTGGGCTCAAGCGATTCTTCTGCCTTAGCCTCACTAGTAGCTGGGATTACAGGCACCTGCCACCATGCCCGACTAATTTTTGTATTTTTTTTTTTTTAAATAGTGACAAGGTTTTGCTATGTTGGCCAGGCTGGTCTTGAACTCCTGACCTTAGGTGATCCGCCCGCCTCGGCCTCCCAAAGTGCTGGGATTACAGGCATGAGCCACAGTGCCCAGCCTTAAGGGTATTTTTAAGTAGCTCATCAAGATGCAATTAGATTTACCATTATCTGACTTGAGTAGAAAACTGGAAAAAAAAAAAAAAAAAACACAAAAGCAGAGAATGGTGAGAACTTTTAAGCGAAGGTGTAGCCGACCCAGTGTCAAATAGACAAAATGTAGAAAAGACAAATATTATACATGTGATCTTTTCTGTCACATAATGTTGACCCCTAGGATTTCCATCTTATGCTTTCAGTAACAGTAAACTACAATATTTAGTGCAGTATTAGATGATTATCATGTCCTAATACATTTCCTCCATAAAACTAGAAGAATGGCACTTAAGGTCCAATGAAATATGATGGTTAAATATAATATTTGTACTCCCTTGTTGGTGTTGCTTAATGCATTTCTTAATCCTCCAATTTATCGTGTCACACAGCACTAAGCTCAACAATTTATTCATAAAGTGGCTGCAAATATAATTTGGAACAAACTTTTTTTTGTTCAATATAATTTATTTATTTATTGCTTGTATAATCACACAAAAGTGTGAGTTCCATGAGGACAGAGACAGTTGTCTCTTCTGTTTACTACAAACGTCTTCCGGGCCAGTAATAACCAGAAGTTGTTACCTGTTAAATAAACTGAAAGTCAAATGTAGGGTGATTTCTACGCATGAGGAGTTCTAGAGCTCATTGATGTCATCCAAGGTTTAAATTCTTAGTGTAATGTATTCTAGGCTCATCCATGTTGTAGCAAATGGCAAGATTTCATTCTTTTTTTAAGGACTGAATAATATTCAATTGCATATATGCCATAATGTCTTTAATCATTTATCCATGGATACTTAAACGTTGTTTCCATATCTTGGCTACTGTGAACAATGCTTCAATGAGCATAGAAGCCCGGATATCTTTACAAGGTTGTGTTATTTTTTCCTTTGTGTATATGCCCAGAAGGAGGGATTCTTGGGTCATATGGTGGTTTTGAATTCCTTGCCTCACAAAACCTTGCTTTGTCTTTGCTTGCTGTTTTTTTTTTTTTGGAGACAGATTATTGCTCTGTTGCCCAGGTTAGAGTTCATTGACCCAATTTCAGCTCACTGCACCCCTGCCTCCCAGGTTCAACGATTCTACTTCCTCAGCCTCCCAAGTAGATGGGACTACAGGCACCCACCACCACGCCTGGCTAATTTTTGTTATTTTAGTAGAGACAGGGTTTCACCATGTTGGCCATGCTGGTCTCGAACTCCTGACCATTCCCATCAATGATAGACTGGATAAAGAAAATGTGGCACATATACATGGAATACTATGCGACCATAAAATAGAATGAGTTCTTGTCCTTTGCAGGGACATGGATGGAGCTGGAAACCATCATTCTAAGCAAACTAACCCAGGAACAGAAAACCAAATACCGCATGTTCTCACTCATAAGTGGGAGTTGAACAATGAGAACACATGGACACAGGGAGGGGAACATCACACACCATCGCCTGTCTGGGAGTGGAGGGCAAGGGTAGGGAGAGCATTAGGATAAATACCTAATGCATGCAGGGCTTAAAACCTGGATGACGGGTTGATGGGTGCAGCAAACCACTATAGCACATGTATATTTATGTAACAAACCTGCACGTTCTGCACATGTATCCCAGAACTTGAAGTATAATAATAAAAAAAGACACCTAGGAATCATTCTCAACAACTGTACTGTCCTTGTCATATTTATAGTGCCCACGTCCAATACACTCTAAGATCATATATGTCAGAAGTCTGTCATCTCCCCCTCTTTCCCTACTTCTGTTTTGTTGAAGTCCTCAGTATATATCTCATCAATTCATTTTTTCAACAGTTCTTGAGTTCTTATGGCAGCAGTCAGGTTCTGACTATTACATACTGTCATTCACTGGATATCTAACTGGTCTTGCTGCCCTCATCTTCCATAGATCATTCTCCACACTGCATCCAGAATGATCTTTCATAAATATAAATGTAGTACCAATGTTCATGGTTTGACTGTCAATTCCCCCAAAAGATTACCGGGAAAACACGTTGATGAAACAACGCTGAGTGTATTAGACATGGCGCCATAAGGGAAGACACTAACTTGACAAGGTCTTAGTAGTGTGTAAAAATTCCTACTTCTCAGTTCATATTTCGCTTCCCTTTTCAATGCTTCCATTTCTTCTTGGACGTGTTCTTATGAGAGCACATATATTTTTTGCTTACTTGTAGGTTTCCTCCACTGGACTATGATTTCCTTGAGGGCAGCTCTTTTATTCTTTATATCCATTGTGATCTAAGTGAGTGATTAATACATAGTTGATACATGAATCCACAATATGTGCTCATTTTAGTATTAATTGAATACATAAGACATTGCTTCTTAAGTGTGCCTTAATTGGCACAATAACAAAATTTGTTGAGGATTTACTGAAGACCAGGTTCTTCCATGCTGTATGTATATTATTAACATGTTTAACTTAGCTTACCAACATTAGGAGTTTATATTCTTGTTATTCCCATTTTCAGACGAGAACACTAAGGTTCAGTGGTACAGAAAAGAATTTGAGTCTAGATATTTTGATTCCACAGCCCATATTCTTAATTCTCGGTACACTACACTTCTCTAGCATGTTTGATAATATATTGGTAACACTCAATTGCCAAATGTATTCTGCATATATCACAACCAGTATCCTGATATATGTTGGTTGGGTTATGAAATGACACATAATTTGTTCAACAAACATTTATTAAGTTTTTACAGTATGCTAGCCACAATGTGAGATTCCTTATATGTACTACCTAAATTAAGTAACTTAAGTAAATGTAGGAGGATTTGAGACATGCATTTACTTTCCCCTCTTTGATTTCTAAGGCACCACACATTCCAGGTTTTCTTCCTGTTTTTCTAGCATCTGCTTTGATTTTAATTTGCTGGTTCTTCCCCATCAACACAAATTCCTGATATGACAGTAACCAGGGGTTGGTTCTTAGACCACATTCATTTTCTCGATGATCTTATCTAGCCTCCTGGCATCAAATACTGTCTGTAAGTTGATGCCTCCCAATGTTTACCCCCAGCTCAGAGCTTTCTGCCAAACTCCAAACTTAGATACACAACTTTTTATACATTCCTAGTCAATTCAAATTTACCCTATGTAAAACTAAATTTACTAACACCCACATCTGCTTCGTCAATAGTTTTTCCTGTGTCAGTAAGGTTTCACTATAGCCTTCCAGTTGCCCCAAATGAACATCTTTGAGTCAAACTTAGTCTTGTTCTTTCTCACACCTGATGTTGTTGATTAGAAAACTATGCCAGGTTTGGCCGGATGCGGTGGCTCACGCCTGTAATCCCAGCACTTTGAGAGGCCGAGGCGGGCGGATCACGAGGTCAGGAGATCGAGACCATCCTGGCTAACACGGTGAAACCCCGTCTCTACTAAAAATACAAAAAATTTGCCGGCCGTGGTGGCAGGTGCCTGTAGTCCCAGCTACTCGGGAGGCTGAGGCAGGAGAATGGCGTGAACCCGGGAGGCGGAGCTTGTAGTGAGCGGATATCGCGCTACTGCACTCCAGCCTGGGTGACAGAGCGAGACTCCATCTCAAAAAAAAAAAAAAAAAAAAACCTATGCCAGGTCCACCTTAACCAGGTATATATCCAGAATCTGATCACTTCTGACTACTTACATGGCCACCACCATCACCTCTGGTCTAAATTAGTGAAATAGCCTTTTAAACAAGCCTGCCTGCTTTGGCCTTGCCTTACCTGTAATCCATTTTGTCTGCCAGATGGTCTTGTTAAAACGTAAGGCAAATCACATCACTCTTCTGCTGAAAACCTTCCCATGCCTTGCCAGACATTCAGTAAAATGCAGTCCTGCTGTTTTATAAGCCCATGCACAATCACCTCCTCCTTTCTCTATGTTTCTTCTCTGGCTTCCTTTTCCACCGTTGTTACCGTCTCTCATTCCACCGCAGTCATAGATGCCTCTACCTGGAACACATTTCCTCCACATACTCACATGACTTACTCTCTCATATCTTTAAATCTTTTTCTCAATGATATTTTCCCTAGTACTTTCAATTCCCCTTCCTTGCTTCCTTTTCTCCATAACACTTACATCCTTCTATTTTACTTATTTCTCTTGATTAGCATGCCTTCAGTGACATGATTCACTGAATGAGAACTTAGATTTCTGTCTGTTTTGTATATGGCTATATCATCATTGCCTAAAATAGTGCCTGGTCCTTTGTAGTTGCTTAATAAATATTTGTTAAAGCAACACTATTTGTACTAAGTGACAGAGCCAGAATTCCATATGATTTTCAAGCTCTTCTCTATAAAATAAATGAAGTTATGATGTATTGAATGTATAAAGGCTCTTTTGTTAGTTGCTCTTCTACCTGGCAAGTCTGTAATTAAAATAATTTTGTAAAAAATTATCTATTTGAAGTTTTTTTATTATTTGTTCAATTGCCAGTAGATAGGCTAGACAAAGATAAGTTTACCAATTGATTATGGATATCTTACATTCTTATTAAAAAGCAAAATAATAATGGATATAACACATTATTATTTTCATGATTAAGGATATATCACCTCTAATGAGTAGATACTAAAAGAGCCTTAATTTTCTGATTCCCTTATTTCTCCTCAAGGCAAGGATAGATATCCCTGTGCTGATGGCATCGAATGCATTGGCAAGCCTAAAATCAAACAAGCTTTCTAGTAGACTCCACTCAAGATTATCATCAATCTTCCTTTGCAAATTTGGTTTTCAGTTTTTGTCTTCACATTGAAAAATAGTCAATATATTGGCAACAAATGTAATGCATTACTCAATGGCAGGTGATATCGCTAAAGATGGTCAATTACATGCTAAAAACAAAGGACTTTGAGGTCTGTTGGATGCCAAAACCTACAGTCAATTCAGTCAATATTTTTGACAGTACAGAGGGAAAAATCACTCAAGGAAAATTGCCACAGTATACATTAAATATCTTTGTTTATCCCATTTTAGTTATTTTGTGTGATATCTCTAAATGCTGTTCTGTATATGCTGCTGACAAGGAGCAAATTTATTTGTTTAGAAATTCTGCAGCCTTTCCATCCTTTGCCTTAACTTTCTTGTTGAGGTACTAATGAGCTGTGAAAGGCCAAATGAAAGAGAAATAACACCTCCAGATAATCTGTACTCTGATAAACTACTCCCAGAATAATTGGGAGTTTATGGTTGTTGTAGGGCAGTGGAAGAAATAAGCAATGTTGGCCAACTATACGGAACAACCCGTGTTAATAAATTTGTAAAAGAAGTTTACAAGGCAATCACAATCCTTTCAAACAAATGTCATGCATGTACTTTCAGGCCTAGGCACAATGTTATTATCTGAAAAGCTTGATAGGTAGGATTGTATTTTGTCCCACTATTTCTAAATCAGGAAATTCTAAGCATACTTGTGACGATTTCTCTTTTACCTTAAATGGCTTCCCTATTCCAGATTTACAGTTTCTGCATGAGTTTTCTACTCAATTTGCATAATTTTAATTTACCTTTATGTTAAGGTTTTTGAAGAGCTGCCGTACTTTCATATTTGGAGTTTAACATATTTTAATTTATGGACGTGGCAATAATTTGATGACCTTTTTAGTGTAATATAAAGCCTATATATAAAAACTTCCAAATAGAATATGTACTGAGTTTGTAGGAAATTTATAAGTATTATGCAAATCAAGAATATGGTAGCTGATTCCACTAGAGGCTATTTTGAAAATATAAAGAAACTTTGTTTTTAAACATAGTATTGATTATCTCACTATGTGACAAAAAGGTATTTCTGTTTATTCTGTTTCTTTCCATTTCTGCTTTCCAAAGTAGAACAAATAAGTTGAAATGTACCAATGGGTGTGTTTTAAGTTTTGACAGGTTTCGGGTATGATTATATACCAACAAAATCCCAGTAATATTTGCTGCATATTTCATTGTATCTATATTTTATGTACTGATTTAAAATTTAAAATGTGAGTAAATTTTAAGGCATTGTGCTAATGAAACTTATGGTAGTTCATTTTTTATTTTTATATAGACAAGCTATCTGTTTAGAATGCAAAAATTATATGCCATATACAATCATATTATAAACATATAAAATTGGTCACAGAAATTTCTAAGGGTGAAAAAGACTGGATGAATCAAAGAAATCTATCCACAATTCTGTGAGTGTATGAGAGACTTAGAATGATCACATTCACATAAAATATAACACATTATTATATTTTGATTTTTAAATTAAATTTTATAAATCTAGCTATCTCTGGGAAATGTTTCTTCCCCTTGAGTTATTACAAAAAAGTCTGGCAACAAGTTAATATTCAGGATTTCGTGAGACAGATACTGAATTCAGTTCCCATCTCTGCTTTTTATTAGCTCTTCGACCTTGGGCAAGTTTCTAACCTTTATGAATCAGGTCTCCTCATAGTAAAATGTAGACAATAATCATCCCTTATGTTGTGAGGTTAAATTAGATGATTTAGTGGAGTGCTTACACCATCCCTCACAAATGGTAAACACTTAATTCACTATACTTCAGTTCTGGTGGTAAATTCTAAAAGAATTTAGATGATGAAGACAGCATTATAATTTAAAGCACAGTCTACACAGTGGATAGCACCCACTTAGGAGATACACACGATGAACTGGGGTTCTAGAAGGACATATTATAATGTCTCTTCACAGGCTTATTTAAGAATTAAGAAAGAAATAAACTTTACCAATTTTTAATATACAGGTTTTCAGATAATTTGATGTAATATATGGTACTTGATATCTTCTGTGGAAAATCAGAGATCCTTAATAGGATGCATAATGTCAGGCCTCTCTCTTATTTATTAGCGTTTTTGGTGCTCTTGATGTGCTGCTATGTCTATGAACACTAAAGTGTGTTTATAGATTATGTTATCTTAAGTAGTAGAATACTTAAAATCTTTGTCAGCAAAATCAGAGTAACCTAGGAAATCTATTTTACTACACAGAAATGTTCTGGACATCTCATGGCAAAGTAGTTGAAAAGATTGAGTTATGTACTTTATTTTTGAAAAGGTCAAGTGTTACATAAATGCTGAACATTTTCAGGTTGGCAAGTGGCTGTGAGTACTATGTTATTTCTCAAATTATTTCCAAAAGCAGAAAAAAACCTTCAATCTTTGAAGGAGAAGCTTCTGTATTAACAATATTAAGAAAGAGACTAGATTTTATAAGACATTCATGCTATGGAGAGAGCATTTTAAAAATGGATATTTGGTGGTAGTCCCATTATAAATAGGTCAGTTATAAAATATTCTATACCTACAGAAAATAAATGGAAAGAAATGTCAAATCTGTTTAAAAATATTATAAGTGAAAACTTTCAGTGAGGTTTTGTCTCTGTTTATGACTTTAGGACGTTTACTTTCTATGTTCACCTCACTTAGGGTTCTGTTTCGCTTTTCTGCTCATGCTTCCATTTCCTCAGTTGGTAATATACACATATCTGTACATATCCTTTAATCCTCTTCTAGTATCTTCACCAAATCAGAAGTGATTGCTCTTATCACTTAGCCCACCCTGATTTTGAGTTTTTTTTTTACTTGAAAATATGAGAAGTAATGTTAGTATAACAAGAGATGGAAACTTATCAAAAGGTTTCATACTTTTATTTTTCTGAAATGCAAAAGACTTACTGCGTTCTTCTCAGTTCTATGAACCCTAAGATCAAAAGCTTTAGTTGTCTATGGGACACAGAGATACAGACCCTGAAGCATGATTACTCCTATTAGGAGCCAATGATAAAATTGAAGAACTTTCCACTGCTTTCAGCCAACAGGATAGAGGACTTTTATTACTTTCCTTGAGGCAGAGGGTGGAATTTGCAGGTGTTAATGAAATCTACCAGAGTCTTCCCAAGAATTAATACCATTCTTTGAAATGGCAGGCTCTGAAGACCTTTCCTTGAATAGGAAAGGAATAGGAAGAGATTCCAAGAATCTCTTTCCTTGAATAGGGAAGCCAACACTGCATTGAAGAAGGCAGTAAGTGAAATAAACAAGTGGAGTTTGTGTCATTTCTTGTCCCTGCTCTGTCATGGAAAGATGCCTTGGTCTAATTCTCTTAGGAAAAAAAATGTCCTCATATCAGTATAAGGTAAAATGGAATATTGTTACATGTCATATGCTAAGAGACACATTATTGTATTCAACAAACATATAGTATGTTATACTGTATGTCAGGTGCTGAACAAAATAAACTGTCTACTGTCGTGAGGCTTCCGAGATGCTACATCACCTCTCATAAAAGAACTTCCCCATTTCCACAATCACACCCTTATAATTGTCTTCCTAATTAGCTCACTAGTTATTTATATTATTTCCCTAATTTTAATAATGAAACTATCCCACAGAAGCACTATAGATGCCCAAGAAGTAGAGACAGGAAGCTACCCATTAGTTCCCCCATAGGGATTTCTCTCCCTTATGAAGGATATACCACATCTTTGTTTAAGGAATAAGGAAAAGAGACAAAGGTATGTAACATAAATAAAGAGAAAGCACACAGAATTTAGTGATATATGTGAAAGGTAACGGGATAAACCAAGCAACTGGTGTATGTTAAGGAGGTGAATATAGCTAATGTCCTTGGAGAAAATTTACCTAGTTAGAAAAGATGTGTCAATTTAGTAGAATATTTTTACAACCTAAAATCTAATTGAACCAAACTCCTCTTTATTGTTGTTAGTTCTCTATTCTGGGTTGCACTAAATAAAAACAATGAGGCAGTGAAAGTGATTTTATAAAAGTTGAATGGCAAAGGGTGATGCTGAATGTCAATACAATCGCTGTATGTTGTCTGTGAGCCTTACAATTACCCTCTAAATTAGTATCATATCTATTTTCAGGTGTGTACCAAGAGTGTGAAATTAAAAAACTTTGCCAAGTTCAAGTACACACTACCTATAAATTCCAGAACCTGAATTTGACCTCATGTTTATTTTACTCCAAAGTGAGGCCGACTTAAAGTTTCCCGAATGCGGCCACTGGTTTTATGCAGCATGATTTCTTTGAGACATTGTTATATACAGCAATGGAGGTAGGGCAGGGGGAGGGCAGTGAGATTTCAGAGATGGCTAGCTTGGACATGCAATAGAGTGGGAAAGTGACCCAATGAGAATCAATTGGAGGGGGAGAGATTGGAGAGAGGAAAGATAATCAACAGTGAGAAGTTCAGAGAAATTAGTTTAAATGTGGGAAGCAATTTCATCATCAGGAGATAGCAATCTATGGCCTGAGGGTGAAAATAGACTTGCTACCTGATTTTTGTAAATAAAGTTTTATTGGAACACATCCATGTTTATTCACTTAATGTATTGTCTCCAGATGCTTTGGGGCTACAATTTGCAGTGACAGAGCTGAGTTGGGGGCATCTGGTCTTTAGTGGTCTGCAAAATTGAAGATACCTATTATCTAGCCCTTTACAGAAAAAAGCTTAAGGTTAAGGAGTCTTGGATCAAATAACAGGAAGAATAAGATTTTCACTGAAATTAGTGTAAGTGTAGATAAGTTTCTATATTTTGGGGACATCTCTTGTGCTAACTTCTAATTTCTTTACATATAGACTTGTGGAATAAATGAGTACATAGCTAAGAATATTATAAATGATGAGAAAAAAAGCAAAATTCCAAAACGGGCTACATGGGAATATTTATGTTTAGGTTCTCCTCATAGCTCACAATTAATTTGTATATGCAATTACAAACTCTATGGACTACGGTCATTCTAGAGGAATATTATTTAAGTGCAGTATATGTCAATTTGAAATAATAAGTTTTCACGAGATATGTGTATTTTGTTTTGATTTTTTTGGTATGTAAAAACCACTTGTCTAAAGCAGTTTACTTCTGAATTATTTTGCATTTTAAAAGTATCCAGTGAATCATTTTTTTCCTATTTATAAATGACTGATTAAAATAAATAAGACTTGGTGTTTTTCCATGAGACGTATTTGAAAATTAATAAAATTGTTAAACTTAGGATTAAGGAAAATAACATTAAGAATTTATTTGGTCTTCTGAGACATTTTGTAACTATCCTATTTTAAATTAAATTTAGTACTTTTACAAAATCTCGTTTCAATTACCAACTCATATGAATTCCAACCAAATACTGACTTTTAAAATTATTGAAACATCCACCAAACAGTACAGAGTTATTATGTTCATCCTTCTTCTCTGGACTTCATGAATCTCTGTCAGCCAAGGAATGTCGGTTTGTTTACTGGGTATCCCATTTTTCCTCCCACACCTCATAGGTGTGACTTGGATTTCCTCATCCTCATCTTGGAAATAGGTCCCCCCTTTTAGGGTGTTTGTAAGAATTATATGAAACAGTAAGAACAAAGAAATCACTAGGCTAGACGTCTTTCATGTGCCATCTAATAAATTTCTGAGAAAGTTTTTTTATTGATGCTTATGAAAATTTTATTATAAACTTGCTTTTAAAAAGAAATCTTTTATATTGGGTTATTAAATTGTTCTAGGTACATTTCTCTAAATCTTCTATTATTTTCTCTCTGACCTTCCATTGATTTAGGAGAATTTGCCATAACAGTGCTTATTTCTTTTTCTTCCTTCTTGATTTTATGAGAAAGGTTCTATTGTGTGGATTATAATAGCCAAGACAGAAAGTCTCAGGTGAAGTACAGGAAAAAATAAAGGAATAAAATATAAAATAAGTTAGAAAGTAAATGTATACCCAAAGATATAAATGGTAGAATTAGAGAAATTAGAGGAAGAAAACACACACACACACACACACACACACACATATAAGTTGGTATACTATATATGTATGTGAATATGTATATATGTATAAACACATATGAAATATGAATAGGAATATTGGGAAGACATATATTTGAAACTATGAATATTTTATGCCATATTACTCCATTTTCAAGGTATTGATTGGTTAAAACATATTTTATATAAAACCTGAAATTGGAAGCACAAATGACCTTAAATAAGAAATTAAAATTACCCCAAACAATTTAGTAAATATTTATTATCTGTGTACTGTGCTGTTAGGCACGGGGTCAGTGTCCCCGCCTTCCTACAATGCAAGGGTTAGTGTAATATCTAAAGGTATGTGACTTGAAAAACGATGAAGCAAAATGACTGGAACCTTCATTGAGAGTATGTTTTAGAGAGACAGAGTAGAGTTTTAGAGAGACATCTGATTTTATAGTAGAAAGTTTATTTTAAACTCACATATAAGCTTTTACAGATACATTTTTATAGTAAAATCTCAGCTGCTAGAAAATTAGAGTATATCAGTATATGAGATTGCTGTAGGTTTCGTGGCACTAACAAAAACACAAGGATGGATGAACTAAAAAATGAGTTTGTTTCTCTTTCAGACTTACTTCTCTTAAATGTTGTGTAGATGGGAGTGATGGAGGCCTTGTAGGAAGTCTCTGCTCATTCAGGGATCCATAGTCCTGTTGCCCAGTTTTTCGATCATCCCCTGGGACGCTGTCTTCGTAGTCACGGTTGAGGATAGCTCACCAGCTTCATGTGTGTATCACGACCTTCAGGAGGGAGGACGAAGAAGAGAGCATATCTATGCCCATTTACGTCTTAATGACGAAGTTGGATGCGTTATATCCAACTGGCCAATACTTGGTTACATGCCACATCTAACTGCAAGGGAAAGTGGGAACTGTAGTGACATTTCTAGATAGCCAAATTGTCCCCTAAACTTTCTAATACTACATAAAGGGTGAAGAAAGATACATATTGGAGGATGAGCAATCTTTGCCAGAGCCATTTTTTTAATGTAGGAATTAAGATTAATGTTTTTCAAAAAAAGGCAGGGGTTGCAATCCTAGTGTCTGATAAAACAGACTTTAGACCAACAAAGATCAAAAGAGACAAAGAAGGCCATTACATAATGGTAAAGGGATCAATTCAACAAGAAGAGCTAACTATCCTAAATATATATGCACCCAATTCAGGAGCACCCAGATTCATAAAGCAAGTCCTTATAGACCTACAAAGAGACTTAGACTCCCACACGTTAATAATGGGAGACTTTAACACCCCACTGACAACATTAGACAGATCAGTGAGACAGAATGTCAACAAGGATATCCAAGAATTGAACTCAGCTCTGCAACAAGCGGACCTCATAGACATCTACAGAACTCTCCACCCCTAATCAACAGATTATACATTCTTCTCAGCACCACATCACACTTATTCCAAAATTGACCACATAGTTGGAAGTTAAAGCACCCCTCAGCAAATGTAAAAGAACAGAAATTATAACAAAGTGTCTCTCAGACCACAGTTCAATCAAACTAGAACTCTGGATTAAGAAACTCACTCAAAACCACTCAACTACATGGAAACTGAACAACCTGCTGCTGAATGACTACTGGGTACATAACGAAATGAAGGCAGAAATAAAGATGTTCTTTGAAACCAATGAGAACAAAGACACAACATACCAGAATCTGTGGGACACATTTAAAGCAGTGTGTAGAGGGAAATTTATAGCACTGAATGCCCACAAGAGAAAGCAGGAAAGATCTAAAATTGACACCCTAACATAACAATTAAAAGAACTAGAGAAGCAAGAGCAAACACATTCAAAAGCTAGCAGAAGGCAAGAAATAACTAAGATCAGAGCCCAACTGAAGGAAATAGAGACACAAAAAGCCCTTTAAAAAATCAATGAATCTAGGAGCTGGTTATGATCAACAAAATTGATAGATCGCTAGCAAGACTAATAAGAAAAGAGAGAAGAATCAAATAGATGCAATAAAAAATAATAAAGGGGATATCACCACCGATCCCACAGAAATTCAAACTACCATCAGAGAAAACTGTAAACACCTCTACGCAAATAAACTAGAAAATCTAGAAGGAATGGATAAATTCGTGGACACATACACCCTCCCAAGACTAAACCAGGAAGTTGAATCCCTGAATAGACCAATAACAGGCTCTGAAATTGAGGCAATAATTAATAGCCTACCAACCAAAAAAAGTCCAGGACCAGATGGATTCACAGCCGAATTCTACCAGAGGTACAAGGAAGAGCTGGTACCATTCCTTCTGAAACTATTCCAATGAATAGAAAAAGAGGGAATCCTCCCTAACTCATTTTATGAGGCAAGCATCATCCTGATACCAAAGCCTGGCAGAGACAAAACAAAAAAAAGAGAATTTTAGACCAATATCCTTGATGAACATTGATGCAAAAATCCTCAATAAAATACTGGCAATCCGAATCCAGCAGCACATCAAAAAGCTTATCCACCATTATCAAGTGGGCTTCATCCCTGGGATGCAGGGCTGGTTCAACACACACAAATCAATAAATATAATGCAGCATATAAACAGAACCAAAGATAGAAACCACATGATTATCTCCATAGATGCAGAAAAGGCCTTTGACAAAATTCAACAACCTTCATGCTAAAAACTCTCAATAAATTAGGTATTGATGGGACGTATCTTAAAATAATAAGAGCTATGTATGACAAACCCACAGCCACTATCATATTGAATGGGCAAAAACTGGAAGCATTCCCTTTGAAAACTGGCACAAGACAGGGATGCCCTCTCTCACCACTCCTATTCAACATAGTGTTGGAAGTTCCGGCCAGGGCAATCAGGCAGAAGAAGGAAATAAAGGGTATTCAATTAGGAAAAGAGGAAGTCAAATTGTCCCTGTTTGCAGATGACATGATTGTATATCTAGAAAACCCCATTGTCTCAGCCCAAAATCTACTTAAGCTGATAAGCAACTTCAGCAAAGTCTCAGGATACAAATCAATGTGCAAAAATCACAAGCATTCTTATACACCAATAACAGACAGAGGCAAATCATGAGTGAACTCCATTCACAATTGCTTCAAAGAGAATAAAATACCTAGGAATCCAACTTGCAAGGGATGTGAAGGACCTCTTCAAGGAGAACTACAAACCACTGCTCACCAAAATACAAGAGGACACAAACAAATGGAAGAACATTCTATGCTCATGGATAGGAAGAATCAATATTGTGAAAATGGCCATACTGCCCAAGGTAATTTATAGATTCAATGCCATCCCCATCAAGCTACCAATGACTTTCTACACGGAATTGGAAAAAACTACTTTAAAGTTCATATGGAACCAAAAAAGAGCCCACATTGCCAGGTCAATCCTAAGCCAAAAGAACAAAGCTGGAGGTATCACACTACCTGATTTTAAACTATACTACAAGGCTACAGTAACCAAAACAGCATGGTACTGGTATCAGAATAGAGATATAGACCAATGGAACAGAACAAAGCCCTCAGAAATAATGCCACATATCTACTACTATCTGATCTTTGACAAACCTGAGAAAAACAAGCAATGGGGAAAGGATTCCCTATTTAATAAATGGTGCTGGGAAAACTGGCTAGCCATATGTAGAAAGCTGAAACTGGATCCCTTCCTTACACATTATACAAAAATGAATTCAAGATGGATCAAAGACTTAAATGTTAGACCTAAAACCATAAAAACCTAGAAGAAAACCTAGGCAATACCTTTCAGGACATAGGCATGGGTAAGGACTTCATGTCCAAAACACCAAAAGCAATGGCAACAAGAGTCAAAATTGACAAATGGGATCTAATTAAACCAAGGAGCTTCTGCAAAGCAAAAGAAACTACCATCATAGTGAACAGGCAACCTACAGAATGGGAGAAAATTTTTACAATCTAATCATCTGGCAAAGGGCTAATATCCAGAATCTACAAAGAAGTCAAACAAATTTACAAGAAAAAAACAACCCTATCAAAAAGTGGGCAAAGGATATGAACAGACACTTCTCAAAAAAGGCATTGATGCAGCCAACAGACACATGAAAAAAATGCTCATCATCACTGGCCATCAGAGAAATGCAAATCAAAACCACAATGAGATACCATTGCACATAGTTAGAATGGTGAACAATAAAAAGTCAGGAAACAACAGGTGCTGGAGAGGATGTGGAGAAATAAGAGCACTTTTACACTGTTGATGGGATTGTAAACTAGTTCAACCATTGTGGAAGAGAGTGTGCAATTCCTCAAGGATCTAGAACTAGAAATACCATTTGACCCAGCCATCCCATTTTATCCCATTACAGTAATATACCCATTACTGGGTATATTCCCAAAGGATTAAAAATCATGCTGCTATAAAGACAGATGCACACGTATGTTTATTGCGGCACTATTCACAATAGCAAAGACTTGGAACCAACCCAAATGTCCATCGATGATAGACTGGATTAAGAAAATGTGGCACATATACACCATGAAATACTATGCAGCCATAAAACAGGATGAGTTCATGTCCTTTGTAGGGACATGGATGAAGCTGGAGACCATCATTCTCAGCAAGCTAACGCAAGGACAAAAAACCAAATACCACATGTTCTCACTCATGGGTGGGAATTGAACAATGAGAACCCTTGGACACAGGAAGGGGAACATCACACACTGGGTCCCGTAGTGGGGTGGGGGGAGGGGGGAGGGATAGTATTAGGAGATATACCTGATGTTAAATGACGAGTTAATGGGTGTAGCACACCATCATGGCACATGTATACATATGTAACAAACCTGAACGTTGTGCACATGTACCCTAGTATTTAAAGTATAAAAAAAAAGATTAATGTTTTTGGCTCTAGAACCTTTTGTTTAATAGGCTATAGAATGAGATTTTTAAAAACTAAAATACCCCATATGTGTACGTATGATACCCATTTTTGTCTTCTTAACTGGAGCATCGGAGGCACAATGTAGCATTTCTGTGAGTGGTTCTGCAATAGTGAAGAATGTTAAATTTGCTGACATTTAACATCAAAGGCAAATCATAGGGATTAACAGAAGGCGCAGAGTTCGAATGGTGGACTTGACACATGCCTTCTTTTAGAAAGAATTTGTTAGCTTTATTTTTTGCTCAGCTTCTTCTGACTTCTTTTTCTGTTTATGTTTTTAAAAAACTGTTAAAATTATGTTTTAAATTTTTGTGGCTACGTAGTAGGTGTATGTATTTATGGGGTACATGAGATGTTTTGATACAGACATGCAGTGTGAAATAAGGACATCATGGATAATGGAGGATTTACCGGGTCTGTACTACCATCTGGGCTGTGTCCCATTGCTGTCTTTCTGGTATTCTGGTATCTTCCTCAGTGTGATATCAGTGTCTGTGACTTGCGTGCATTATTTAGACTTGACATTTGATTTCCTACTCAGCAACGTAATGAAGACGAGGTATTTTCCTAGTAGCTTCCAAACCATTGATTGAATTTGTGGAAATTAAGAAAAAATACACTTTGACTTATTTTTAAGAAGTTACGTGAGGGCCGGACACCGTGGCTCACACCTGTAATCCCAGCACTTTGGGAGGCTGAGGTGGGCGGATGACCTGAGGTCAGGAGTTTGAGACCAGCCTGGCCAACGTGTTGAAACCCTGTCTCTATTAAAAATATAAAAATTAGCCCGGTGTGGTGGCTTGTGCCTGTAATCCCAGCTACTCGGGAGGCTGAGGCAGGAGAATGGCTTGAACCCAGAAGGGAGAGGCTGCAGTGAGCCGAGATCCCACCATTGCACTCCAGCCTGGGCAGGAAGAGCAATACTCAATCTCAAAAAAACAGAAAAAAAAAAAGTTATATTATATTTTTTTAAAAGTGCTGTTGCTTAGACTCTTAATTCATTTTCTTCATTTAAAGAGATTGATCATATTGGGATAAAGACGTGTTTTGGAATCCAAACAACCTGGTTTTAAGTCCCAGAACCACCAGTTACCTTTGTGACCTTTGGCAAGTCATCTAATTTTTCTATTTCCATTTCCTCATCCTACTAATTTCTATCACCCTGATCTGTTGTAGTGAAAAATGATATAATGCGTGTTAAGTGATTAGCAAATTGACTGACACTAAGTACTCAATAAATAATGGCAGCTGTTGTTATTGCTGTTGTATATGCGGTAGTAGTTGTATTTGTTGTTGATTGTTGCCCTAACAGCAGGCCATGATTTTTCCTAAATCCTCATTAGGGCTTAACTTTGAACTCAATTTCAGGCCCTATCTATATTAAAAATTACCTATTTAATAGTGTCATTAGGTTGAATGTCATGTACAGTGTTGCATGATGGATTAATTTCTCATAAATCACTTCAGTAATCATTTTTATGCTTTGAATAGTACCTTGGTTTACGTGTTATATCTGTGAGAAAACACAGCGGAAATGTGTCAAGAATATTTCCAGGTACTAATCCTGGTTGTTCAGAAATGCTCTTCTGTTATTTAGTGAAAGAACCGCTTGGTTATCCCTCTGTAATCCTTTATCTTGGAAATAATCTTTTACTGAGGGGTAAAAAGATTATAGAATACACCAAAAAATTCACCATCCATGCATTGACTTAGACTCCATGAAAAAGAAGTATGATACATTTAAATGAACTGAGAATGATAAAATTTGCAAATGTTCTTGAAGCATTTATGCATTCAAGACCAATAAAACTGTTTTTGATCCAGGTTAACAGTCGTATCATACTTTAAGGCTGAATTTAGATAAATTGCCAAAATCCATTTTATCAGTGATATAAAACTGCTCAGTGATAGACTGTGCCCTCTCATAGTGTCCCAGCTATTTTTTCTAAGAGCTTTGTGGTTTGCTGGGCTGCTGGTTTCACTACCTACATGTAGCCACTTGATTACTTATCTCAGTTTGAATTGCCCAAATCATGCTTCCAGAAACACACAGAGCTCATTCACCTGTTTCCCCATAAAAATCATTTATCATTTCAATGAACTTTGGCCCCCAAACACAGGCATTGCAGAGCATTTCTTGGGATCTAGAATGTGCTTAGCATTTTATATGCACTATCTCATCTAATCTTTCCAGCAGCCTTACGTACGTATATTTTTATTTTTCTTGTTTTATAGATGGGGTAACTGAGATGCAGAGAGGTTAAATACCCAAGATCAGACAGATAGTAAACTGGATTTTAAAATATATTTATATATTCAGAAGTATCAAGGCTATTGCTGTATACTTCATTAGAACCATTTCTAGTCAGAGAAATTCTACGAGTAGAAATTATGACTAGAAATTGTCTCCAGAAATGAGTGTCTAGAGATTTTTCTAGACATTGCTGGACTAAAACAGTCATTTATCATCCCTGATTTTTTTACCTTTCTCCTTTCTGCTCTTTCACCTTTTTTTTTTTTTTTTTTTTTTTTAAAAGAGACGGAGTCTTGCTGTTTTGCCCAGGCCGGAGTGCAGTGGCGCTTTCTCGGCTCACTGCAAGCTCCGCCTCCCGGGTTCACGCCTTTCTCCTCCTACCTCAGCCTCCCGAGTAACTGGGACTACAGGCGCCGCCACCGCGCCCGGCTAATTTTTTGTATTTTTAGTAGAGACGGGGTTTAACCATGTTAGCGAAGATGGTCTCGATCTCCTGACCTCGTGATCCGCCTGCCTCAGCCTCCCAAAGTGCTGGGATTACAGGTCTGAGCCACCGCACCCGGCCTCTTCCACCTTTTTTAATGAGCGATGTCTTCAAGGAACATAGGTGACAATATCTAATACTTCCTAAATCTAACAGGCAGTAATTAAGCCTCTGAAGTCTGTGGATAACGTTGAATAAATTTGAGTGTACTCAATTTTGGGGGAAAAAAAAAAAACAAAAACAGAATCGTTTCATCCATTCACTGTCATGCCTCTCATCGTAATCATTATTTGCCCAATGTACTGAAGAGAAACATAAACTACTGTGATAAAGACAAAATAGGATTGAAGCATAGGAAAAATAATTAGTTCCAGTTGATGATACTGGCATCTTCATTCATGAAACGATTGGGGTCTATCTTTCTTATAAATAGATCTATAAAGAACAAAAACCAACTTTCCTAGAAAATCTCTTCATTTGATGCCATGACATGTATGAAGTGATCTCCAATCTTAGGTACAATGTAAAATTCTGTGATGATAAAAACATATTTTGGGGTGCTGAAACAAAGCATAAGCCACTTTTTATATCTTTATTTCCAAATTCTCAGATTAAACATCGTTTTATTTTAAAATGTCTTTTATTCCAAGGTCTCTATGGAAAATATACAAATGTAGAATTCAGGCAAATTTCTTTTTTCGTCGGTTTGCTTAGTCTGAAATTCTAGAGCCATTTCCAATTTTGTTTTACAAACTGCAGAAAAAAGTTTAATCTCACCTTAGAACATATATACATATACATATCAAAATAAACCCATATGCACATCTGAAACAAAAATTGAGACAATAATTGTTAGTATTATATAAGTGACACAGACTACTATTTTTCTGTTTAATTTTAAAATATTCCTAGTCATAACCTACTAACATGATTTTATGAACCATGAATGGATTCTGACTTACAATTTGAAAAACAATAGTCTATCTAGACAAATAATTACTCAGATCTTAAATTCAAATTTTGATTATAATTCTGTATATATATAGTTGAATTGATGGATATAAATATAAAATTTTGCATAGCTTATTCAGATTTGAATTTATCTTTAAGAAGGCTGTCTTTGAAATGTTTTTGTTTTATGCACATCCTCAGACAAAATATTTAGGTTCAGAATTTGAGTACTAGATGTCATGTCCTTGAGTATAAGTATACACCTTTTAATATTTTCTTCCAAAATTCAATCCTGTGTAAATATCAATAAATCATAAAGTGTTTAATATTTTGATTCAAATTGCACAGTGTAAAGTATTGTGTTACTTGAGTATTAGTGCTGTTTACAATGCTTCGTTTGGAGAAGATTATTTGAACTCAAGATAGTTAATGATTTTTAAGAACTCTTAAATACGAGCTAGGTTAAGGTTCAGATTTCAAAAAGAGTTAAATAATGTTTGCTCTTACACATTTTTGGGGGCGTATTTTCGACAATAATTTTCCATCTCCTGAAACCTGAACAGTGACTTAAGAAGGTAATCTTGGGGCAATTTATGCTTCAAAACACTTCTTATATATGCAGAGGAATTTGATAATAATTACAGCCGTAACATACTTTATTTAGTTGTTATACAAGGTCACTCTGTGAAGTGCATTATGCACTCTTTAATTCTTACCACAATCTTATTATGGAAGTATTATTGTTCCCATTTTACAGAAGCAGAAACTAAGGCTTATGCAGGGCTAGGTAACTCCCAAAGTCACAAGATTCCCTTTCTTTCTATATCATCAATTTCAGCATAAGTGGTTGGTTCATATAGGAACATAACAGGAGTAGGAAAGGATATGATAGGGTTTCTTGGTCGTTTGTATTTTCTTGAAAAAATTGCCTTCTTGCTGCATTTGAAGCAGGGTCTGGTTCAGATAGGAAGCATTATCTCCCAGGGCTGCCAGCAACCTTGTTTACTCAGTTATAGACATAACACACTTACGCCATATTCTTTGAATCTTACTAAACTTACTGTGAGCTCACCAGACTTCTGTGCTTCTAGGGCATTGAAAATGCTATATGCAAATAGGACAGATACACATATTATACCACCTGTCTCCTCTGCGCATGTGCATCCTTCATTGCACATAGGACTTCACTTCTAAAACACAAATTCAAAAATAAAATTATTTACAATTTCAGGATAGTATCAGCAGATAATAGAGGCATGTGTTTCTTCTGCGCTCAGGGCCCTGTGCAACTGCTCAGGTTGCACAAACGTGAAGCTGGTTCCACCTGCGCACATCTCTCAGGCTGCCTTTATATCATTTTCCCCCTTAATGCTGACTTTGATAGTTATTATTAATAGTATTTAGAGACGGAAGAGATACACCATGGAAGTTGTTCTAACCCCTAAGACCTTCAGAAATTGCCTTACTGTTAGACAAGGGTTCCATGCAAATAGCCCTTTCAGTGCACTTACCCTCTTTGATATGATGAAGTTCGGTGATTTTGACTTACCAGGATGACCTTTCTCTGCCACTTTTATAGAAACTGGAAAAAGAGTGCATCATTTGATGAAAATGTCATTGCAATAACTGCCACTATGCCTTGTCATCTCGAAGGACTTAACAGTTGGGGAAATTTAAAATATTGAATTTTCAAAATTTGAGCATTTATCAGAAGAGCACAAGTAAGTTGGTGCTGGCAGCTTAGTGGGTTAATTCCCAGAACTGAGAAGGACAGGAAATGTAGCACATACACACCAGGGGAAAGCCACCAAAGGTTGAATTTTCTCTGGGTGAGATTATGAAATCCCCCAAACAGCTTCTGTTGTTCTACACTGCTTTTTGATTCCTTTACAAAACCCTGTTTGTTAGGGGGCCCCGTGCTTGCTTGCAATATTTGTGGAATGCAGAAGATTCTTCTACAAATATTTCTCCAATATTTGTTTGTTCTGCTCACCTCCGTAAATAGTATGCCTATGTCCTTGACCTCAGCAAAGTCCCTCTTGAGCATGTTCTCAGGATTTTTGAAGCCCGGCGACCTGCAAGGAGTACACTCCTCCCAAAGCAAAACCTCCTGCAAACTTAGTAGTTTACTCAAATTTTTGCCCTTGATAAATGCCTTTAGGTTAAAGCAGCAGACATGTAGTTTATCCCAAGAAGCCTCTCCTGTCACTTGAGTGTATGGTTCCTATAGCATGCAAATCTCTGCAAACATATGGCCAGGTTTACAGCTCATGTAAACTACCCCGTCTCTATTACTTGGCTTCAGATGGGGAGAAGTTAGAGCCACGCAGAGCGCTCCAGCCTCTCCAGAGGAAGCCTTTCTCACCAGATTTTTCTAATCGACCTCCTTGCTTGCTCTTACACACCTTTAAGCTAGATATTGGATTAAGGGTTGTGAGACCAATTTTGTGATCACTTCTTAGCAATTTTTTAACAGGTACCCTGGATCTTCTCTTTAGAATTATGGATGCTTCGTACACTTTGCTCTTGGCTTTAGGGTCCAGACGGAAATTCCAAGACAACCATTTGCATTCTCACTTAATATCCTGCTAATTAAATTGGGTAAAGCATACTTCATATTTTAGTTCTTCTAAGATAATGTCTTACTATTTAAATCGTGGCCTTCTGGAAATAAAGGCTAAATCACAGAAGTCATTATGCTGTTAGAAATTTTAGATGGGTGGGTGAGGTATTTTTTTTCTTTCTAAATTTTGCCTTCCTTTCCCCTACCTCCTTGTTTTCTTACTGATGCCTTTACTGGTCTGTAAATATTTGGAAATATTTCATTACCTAGGGCCTCTCAGGAAGAGATATTTCCTTTAATGCCATTGCAGAGGTATGTAAATATAATTCTGATAATGTATATGTAAGTTATTATAAATAAGAAATGAGGAAAGTTCCTACAGATCAATATTTATAGCATTTAAAAAGCAACATGAGGTGATATACTAATTTACTCCTTCCAGTAATCTAGAAGAGCTTTAATACAATATTAATTTGGTGTGGATTTTGACCGCTATTTGAAAATTGATGTATGCATGAGGAAGTTAAAATGAAAACTCCCTATTGTCTGTATCTGCTGTTCCTGTGTTTGATAATGCCAGTGGACAGTCCTAGCATTTTAAATATTTCATTCGATTCATCATTTAATGTACTGGAACAATCTGCAAAGACATTAATTGTGTAACACCCAATTTATTTTATTGTGCAGCATTTGGAAGCTCCTGAAGACAAGTCATTTGGCAGTTCATTGATGGAGAGTGAAGTAAACCTGGACCGTTATCAAACAGCTTTAGAAGAAGTATTATCGTGGCTTCTTTCTGCTGAGGACACATTGCAAGCACAAGGAGAGATTTCTAATGATGTGGAAGTGGTGAAAGACCAGTTTCATACTCATGAGGTAAACTAAAACGTTAATTTACAAAACAAAACATATGACTTGTTATAATGGCAAGTCATCCTTTTTCCTCAATTACTCTCTTACATCCTTGTATTTTGGAAATTTAGTTACTATGATGTGCTTGGGATTCCAACAGTCAGATTTTGAAGTTTTCTTTTGGAGAGCAACCATTGAAGGCATTTCTACCTGATCGGCCAACAGGAATACGAAAGCCCAACTTCTTTCTCTTGTGTCAAGGCAGTGCTGAGGCATTACTTACATTCCTGAGTTGATGTATGGTATTGGGCTTAACTTCTCTCAGTGGGAGACTTTTCCTGAGATGATACACTCGTTTGGCTTCTTTCCCTTCCCTGTCCTTTTTCCTCCATCTTCAACTCCCTTGCGGAACTTCCTGGGAGCTCTTCCTTAATAAATCACTTGCACTGAAGTCCTTATCTCGGGGCCTGCTTCTGAAGAACTTGACTTAAGATAATTTTCCTTAATTCATATTAAAAGTGGTTTTGGGATTCTGCAAATACAAATTAAATTCCTTTTACTGGGAATATAAATCTAAATGGGCCACAAGTTTAAAACTGCAAACAAATAAAACTCAAAACCACACCGATTTACCTAGAGTTCTAATTACAATTGTTAACTTCCTTCTTTGTCAGGGGTACATGATGGATTTGACAGCCCATCAGGGCCGGGTTGGTAATATTCTACAATTGGGAAGTAAGCTGATTGGAACAGGAAAATTATCAGAAGATGAAGAAACTGAAGTACAAGAGCAGATGAATCTCCTAAATTCAAGATGGGAATGCCTCAGGGTAGCTAGCATGGAAAAACAAAGCAAGTAAGTCCTTATTTGTTTTTAATTAAGAAGACTAACAAGTTTTGGAAGCTTGTGATTATTTTGATGTGGTTTGATGGTTAAGTTACGATTCTCAGTTTGTTCCCAAGGCACACAGCTTTCTTTCAAGGGAGACTGGTTGGATTTTCATAGAAATAACATTTTGGTTTTCACTTTTGTAACTAAAAGAGCAGATGTTAGATAGATGCACTGTTATCTACAGAACTATGTTTTAAGATTTGCCAAAATTCTGTCATAGTTATTATTTTCTAGGTTTTCCTCCAAACATTAAAATGTCACTATAAAAGGCACAGAAGCATGCACAGGAGATTGTGTACATAAAATCACCTATTAGCTATAGTTGACACGAAACTTCTCTTCTGAAGAAAAAGCCCTTGAAAATATTAAAGAGTTACTCATCTATATATGGAAATCCTCTTGAAAAACATTATTCAAACGTTTTGGGAAATTCTTATTAAAATACAGTATGGCTATGAATTATCTTAAGAATATATATTGACTTAATAAAAAAGAGGATTTGAGACATTTCTGAAAAATGACATATTTCTTATAAAGGTAACAAGCAGATCTCATCATTCTGGATATGTGTTTTGATTTATATTGTTAGGTGTGTATATTCATGTAAAGCCTATCAAGACAAGATAGATTTATTTTTAAATGAAAAGAAATGAAGTGCCAACTGTGGATTTGAATACATTAAGTGAAAAAAATTGTCCAAATGCCTTAAGTTTATTTAACTATTATTTATGAAGTTCAAAAGCGTTAAAAAAAAAAAAGGACCAAGGAAACTCATTAGATATGCTAGAAGGATTGGTATTCCAGTACTAAATTATAGTGTGAAATTATGGAGGGGAAAAACACATTTTTAAGCTCAGGCCTTTTGAAAGAATAAATAAGGTACATGTAAGATAGAGGTTTCATAACTATATATGTATTCCAAGCCAGGAGATACTAATCTATGCATATTGATATTATTCGCCTGCTGTGATCGTGGTGATGATTGTCACTACCCCTAGATGTGAGAGGTACAATAATCATATTATAACTGTTGAGTCTGCCCACTCCCCAGTGTTTACCAGGTCCACTAATTTACTCCATCTATTATCGATATTAAGATATAAGCTGCCTTCTGTGGTCATATGCCAACATTCTTCAGGTTAGAACTTCTATTTGCAGTGATCTGTGGAACTTAAAGCAACCTCAAACAAAATTAGAAAGTTTTGAAAATCCAACCACCTCTTTACTGTCCTTGCCATAATAGCCACCAGTGTCTTCTCCTTTGTGCACTCTAGGTTTCCATCCTCTCCTGGAGGCTAAATGCTCTCATTTTTCTTACACTCCCCATTTTCAATAAAACTAACAATATGGCATTAATTATTCATACTAATCAGTTAATTAATTGCTGTGTGAAATTGAGTTGCAAGAAAATATGAATTCCTCCTGGAATTAAAATTGCAACTTTTTCTTTGCTTATCTGAAACATAAAAAAAGTCTTTTATCTGTGATTCTAACATTTAAAAAGATGTTCATTCAAAAATTCCCCCCTTCAAGGGATGTCTGCCATTAAGTGAAGGATGACAGACACCTAGACTTCTGTGCGTGTAATTTCCTCATCCCCATCCCACTAGAGAATGGAAATGCTAAAATGGCAGTATTACCACCTAGCTGAGATTGACATAAAAAATTAGTTTGTCCTTAGGGAAGATTCAAGAGCTTTTGTACGTGTTACAGCTTTTAGAATAATTATTAAGAAGGCAAGGAGAGCCTTCTAGCTGGTATAGCTTTTGCTAAAACATCTCACAGAGTTTTTAAAATGAGACACGTACATGTAACCACTTCTATCACATAGACTTTTCTGGAAAATTCCTTAAAAATGAATATACAAAGCATTATTTGAGCAACACAAATTCAGAAATAATATGAGAGTTTATAAATAACAGTCTTCCTTGCCACTTTGACTATGTATGTGTTCGTGCATAAAACCTATTAAATTCTAATGTGATAAGCCATTATGTAAGCTTTGCTGAACCTGATTTTTGAAAGATTTTGTGAGAGGAAACAAAAAACGTGATTATGAAAAGAGGGTATTGTCATTATTTTTAAAAAACTAATCTAGGTTTTACTTAATGCTTCAAATAAATTATAACCTGTTCAGTTTCCATTATCATGGTCATGAGAATGGATTATCTCCAATGATTAGCTTCAACTTGGAGCATTACCTATTTTTTTTCTAAATATATGATTACTTCAGAGTAGAAGATTACTAGTAAACAAAAATGGATTCATCGATACTTCTTTTCTCTCTCTACCTAAGACAGGGTTTGGATAGATCCAGTCGGAAGCCATTATTTCCTGCCTAAGCCTTGGTTTAGCGATTAGAGAAATGATAATTAACATTTGTCTAGTCATATTAAGTATATCCAAAGCTATGCTATAATTTCTAAGTTGATATAACAAAAGTTAAAAACTTCTTGTAAATACAGATAAGCTTATCACTAAAATCTATGAACATTTACACTTAGCAATTATTAATCCTATCTACCAACATACTTACTATTAGGTTGCTGCAAAAGTAATCATGTTTTTTTCCATTGTAAGTAATGGGAAAAACTGTAATTACTTTTGTACCAACCTAATAGCAACATCAAATTATATTTGATATATAGTCATTGTGAGATATATATATATATATATATATATATATACGTATAAAATACACATATATCTCTCTATATGAACAAATATTAATGGAATACATTATCAAAAACAATTAATGGCACTGGAGACTCAATAATGATCATACAAGGTCTGGCCCCAGATCTCATGAAACATATTCTGTAGAGGCTGGCAGCCAAGAAAAAAAAGAACACAAGAAAAATACCGGATAGGAATATAGTTTTTGAAGAGATTAAAATGTAATGTGATAGAGAATGGTTGAGGGGAGGCTACTTTAGACTTTGTGATCCAGGTAAGACTTTGAAGGTTGGTACCATTTAGTTTGAGATTTGAATGACAAGAAGGTACCACTATTTGCAGATCACAAGGAAGTGTGGTTCACGGATTAGGAACAGCTAATGCAAAGGCCCAAAAATAGGGACAGTTTGGCTTGCTGGAGGAACCAAAAGGCCAGGGGGACTGTAGAGTTGCAGGGTGGTAAGTTAGATGGCTGAGGTCTGAGATGGGGTTGAAATATAGGTAGGAGACTGATTACATATTGTAGTGTCAGTCAGGGCTTTGAATAAGGGCTTTGAATTCTAGACTAAGTGCAAGACAAAGCCATCAGATTTTATGTAGGTGAGAGATAGGTCAAGAAAACCTATCAGGAAGGCCACTGGAGGAAGAGAGGACAGTTATTAGGCCAGTGAAGTTGGCCAGTTAAGACACAGTAGTGTCTTAGACCAGCTGGTAGTTGTGATAAAAGTATACTTTACTATCTTAGCCATTTAGTTATTTTAAAAACCACTTCTCTGTTTAGTTTTAGTTCCTATTTTTTTTTCCTTTTGACAGTAAAAGTGCTTTTTCCTTTGGAAATAGACTGCTTCAATTTGTGCCCACAGTTACTATTATTCAAGTTGCATCTAGGAAATAATATTTATCCCATAAACCATCAACAATTATGCAAAACAAGAAATATTAAAAATACAAAGATAATAGCGTGCCCTGATTTCTGCCTTACATAAAATCCTCTCCAGTTTGCCTAAGGAATAAGGGCTTGCTTTCTCAAACACTTATTTATGTGAACTGGGGCAATATACTTTTCTTTTCTGTTCTCTACTTTATAGTTTTGTAAAACAGCAATAGTGTCATGAGGCTGACATACCTCTGAAAGATACTAGATGAGATAGGGTATAAAAAGTTAGTTTGTGAATGCAAAATTATTATAAAATGTGAAGAAAGATAACTGTGATAAATAAGATGATGAGCTGTCAGTTAACTATTTTACCATACCATGTCACTTTTTATATGTAATTTGATATTTTCTATATGAAGTATTATATAATTTTATATATAATTATATTTCATATATTTTGTATAATAACTTATATATAATTTTTTAACTTTTAAAAAAATTTTGCAGGGAATGAGGTCTTGTTATGTTTCCCAGGCTAGTCTCAAGCTCCTGGCCTCAAGTGATCCTCTCCCACCTTGGCCTCCCAAAGTACTAGTATTACAGACCTGAGCTACCAAACCTGACCCTCATAGATGTTTTTTACTTTTTTTCTCCAGCCTTTTCTAATTGCCTCAGTCATTTTTTTTTCCCAAAGAGTATAGCTGTGGTTATTTTGTATGGGGATAAGGGAGCATGAGCAGGATGATTAGAAATACATTTGCAGTTATTTTTTCACAATGGCAACATTTAAAAATATGCTTACAAAGGAATGTCAGGAAAGATAACCATACAGATACTTCCTCCTTTCTTTCTCCTTCATAACCACACTCTCATTTGATTCTTTCCTTGCTATTGTATTTTCCCTCCAATTCTGTTGCTTTTATGGACATAAATTTCTGATGAGGTAAAAGCTAATACAATAAAGAAGTTTATTAACACATCTCCAGTCACAAATGAGTTTGGCACGTGCCGATACTGGTCAATTACAAAACTTTACCAATGTTTATATGATTTAAATGAGAAAACTAAGTGCCATTCCTTTCATAATGTAGTGTTTAAAACAAGAGAATATTGATGTGGTTTTGTTAGAACCCCTTAAGAGGAGTAAGCCAATGATTTTTTTTTTAATGCTGTGGAATACACTTGGGATGGTAGGAGGTAAGGAATTCGGAAGAAAAACACACAACTTCCAACTGTGGAAGTGCAAGAAGACAACTGGCACAGGGAAAACAGAAGATTTTCTTCTCTATGAATAAACTAATTAATTTGATTGAAAAATGCAACCTGCAGAGAGCAAAAAAGATTTACTGACATTTTTATAAGGACTCAAAGTTAAGCACAGCAAGTTCCATCAACTTTTCTGATAATTGTAGTTAGGACATGCAGGCAGAAACTAAAACTTCTGTGACGGTAAGGGAAAAAAATGAAAGCAAGTCAGGAGGCCAAGTGAAGTTGTGTTTTTTGGTTTATATCAGCAGGAGGAGAGATATGAATAGTATCTGGGTAGATACACAAGCCATAATATGGAAAATAATTGTGAATCACCATCAATGCTTTGACTGGACAGAAAAATACATCTAACAAATATGGCTCATCTCTTTTTTTTTCCCCCAAGTGTCTATTTGACTCTGGAAATAAGATGGCATATGTGAGAGTGGATAGAGAAAAGGAGGTGCTGAACAAATGAGTGGGTTATTTTCTCCCAAGTGCAGTGAAGTTTGCGTATGTGAATATATGAATGAATAGATGAACAACTAAATTAAGTTATTCAGGTAATTCCAATCTTGGAATTGAATTCGTTGCAGTAAATACTTTGGAGGTGCACAATCTCAAACTCCTAATTGTGATTTTATTTCACAATTTGGTAAGTTCATTGATTTTTCTGTTTTACTTCTTCCAGTAATGTTAAGCAATAGTAACTTGCAGATCAAGGTGGTGTAGGACCAGTAGCATCAGCGTCACCTGAGAACTTGTTAAAAATGCAGACTCTCAGCTCTCATTCTGATATATACAGAATCAGAATTGTGCAGTTTAGCAATATCCCAGGTGATCCCTGATCAGTTTAAGTTTGAGAAGCACTGATCTAACTGAAATTAAGACAGAGTAGAAATCTCAACTTCTTTGTAAACCTCTACTTAGATATCTTCTGTTCCTATTTTTCTATCAAGTGACGTGGGCCAAATATTTTAATTACTTTCTCAGGAGCTCTAAAAATGGTGCTGATATTTCATTCAGTCCTCATATGTTGATATCATACCCCATGGGTGATTAAGCAGTAGCAAGATTCTGGTGCAATAATATATAACAGACAATATATGAGTGTTGATGAGTATTGATAATTAAGCTATTGGACTAATAAGAAGTAGGAATTATTTATAGATGATAACGTGACATTCGGTTAGGTTGCACATGGATTATGGTCATAATAATTTTTCTGTCAATAATTAAAAATGTGATAATGCAGCTAAATGTGGACATCTCTTGTACTAATAATACAATGCATGTGACTCATAGTTTAAATTACAGGAAAGCTAAATTTCTGGAATTCACAGAAATGAGAGAGCCGTATCTTCAAAAACAATGCTTTCTCACAAAGATAAATAATGCTGATATGGTTTGGCTCATCTTGAATTGTAGTTCTCATAATCCCCATGTGTTGTGGGAGGGACCTGGTGGAAGGTAATTGAATCATGGGAGTGTAACCCTCATGCTGTTCTCATGATAGTGAGTGAGTTCTCACAAGATCTGATGGTTTTATAAGGGGCCTTTCCCCTTTTGCTTGGCCCTTCTTCCTGCTGCCATGTGAAGAAGGACATGTTTGCTTCCCCTTCCATCATGATTTTTTCTGAGGCCTCCCCAGCCATGCCGAACTGTGAGTCAATTAAACTTGTTTTCTTTATAAATTATCCAGTCTCTATTATGTCTTTAATTAGCAGCGTGAGAACAGACTAGTACAGTACATTGGTACCGCAGAGAGTGGGGTGCTGCTATAAAGATACCCGAACACGTGGAAGTGACTTTGGAACTGGGTAACAGCCAGGGGTTGGAACAATTCAAATTAAACTAATAGACTATCTCAGAGAGCAGATTTAATAGAAGTTGACATTTTAATCTTAGTACAAAAATTCCCAATCAGAAATATCAAAACTATGTCTTGTTCATAATTAAGTTATACTACTTATACATTGAAGAAATATTTATTGAGTGTGTAGTATGTGCCAGGCACTGTGCCAGATGCTATGTAGTGGCAAAATTTTTGAAGTTGAGAGTGAGCTTCTATTTCCACATAAATGAATAGAATTTCAGAGTGTCAACATTACCTATTCTTACTAGAGATAATTTAAACAGTCTTCCAAACGTGATATATTCATATTTGTCCTTGGCTCCTGATGACATCTGCCAATTTCTTTATTTTCTTTAAAAGCATTTAATCAGGAAGATTGATTTGAGGGTTGCCATAATGTATTTGCCACAAGAATCTTTTTCTTTTTCTTTTTCTTTTTTTTTTGAGACAGAGTCTCCCTGTCTCCCAGGCTGGAGTGCAGTGGCGCTATCTCGGCTCACTGCAAGCTCCGCCCCCCGGGTTCACGCCATTCTCCTGGTTCAGCCTCCCCAGTAGTTGGGACTACAGGTGCCCGCCACCACGCTCGGCTAACTTTTTGTATTTTTAGTAGAGACGGGGTTTCACCATGTTATTCAGGATGGTCTCGACCTCCTGACCTCGTGATCCACCTGCCTTAGCCTCCTCAGCCTCAGTGCTGGGATTACAGGCATGAGCCACCACGCCTGGCCAAGAATCTTTTGCATCCAGCCACGCAGCTTCTTTATGTTATTGTTACTAAACTGAATTTATGTTTTCAAAATGAAAATAAATGTGTTTGCATTTGAACTTTAATGTTGCCTCGGATAGTTGAAAAATATTAATAATTAAACTGTTCAGCTATATGGATGGAGGACAAAAATGGATCAGGATTTGAAAACAATGACACATTTTCGATTTTCTCATAGAATTCAGTATAAAAACAATACTATTTCTCACATTCCATTAAGTAGGAAAATAAATGTTAGTGCATGTTTAATTTTGTGAAAAACTGGAACATTTTCCTTCATTTCTAGTTGTTGGATGGGGAACTTTATATTAGGTTCTTTCTGAACTATTTACTGTGAGGTTGTAATTTAAAGTTTGACCTCCAAGATCAGGTTGCAGGGTGCAGTATAATAACTATGGCAATTAGTGGGAATTTTTGAAAATGATACATGACATGCTCTCCTTGGCTTCTTTCCTAGCCCAAGATGTCAGCATACTTCGTGTTGGGAAAGAAGGTGCTGTAAAGAGGAGAATGAACACATTAGTTTTAGGGGGATAAAAACTGTATAATTTTGTCAGACCTTGCCTCACTTCATTCTCCAATGGAAACTACTATATTAGTGCCTAAGATTTATACACACCGTGACACCATGCAGTGTCAGGCTTTGCAGCTGAGTCTAGTAAGGAATACCAGAATTTGGAGGAAAGCAGATCTAGTTACTGAGGCAAGTAGGTAAACTAGGCCAGTAGGGTTTCTACAGCTTCACAGATGCTGAGGGTACCCATTCAGAAAGTTAGCATGAGAACTAGAGGACAATAGCGATGGATGTACTTGTGGTAAAGGTGATGAGATAGTGAAAACAGTGACAGCTGAAGTCTTACACATTTGAGGGGGTAATTGGTTCTGTTTGGATTCTGGCTTTAAAGCTTATATTTCACAGGCCACTTATTGAACTTTGATAAACGTTATAAATCTTGGGAGTTGAAAAATACTAATATGCTTCCTATGGACCATTCATTATTGCCATGCAACAACAACAAAAAACTATGTGCATATGTTTGTACATGCACTACTCAAGCTTTTCTTTTAAATGAATGTTGCTTTTCTATATTAAAACATGTTTGCCATTTCTTGGATTATAATATATCATGATTTCTGATTCCTATATTTAATGATACACCATACATTTTAAAAATATCTAGTCATTTTATATGGTCACCATATATTTGAGGGAAAATGAGTCTCGAAGTTTATTGTGGAGGAGGTGGAGAAAAATCGCCAAACAGAAGCCTCCAGTAATTATCCCTGTTGCAGGAACATCAAATTGAACAACTGTCCACACTAGAAAAGCACCTTCATAAGAGTGAAAAATTAGGTGCATGATCGTAGTACCTGGTTTTTGGGTTGTATCACAGAAAGAGGCACAGAAGAGGGTAGTAAAGGCAATATTCTATCACCTATACCAGCTCTCCCTCATCCATGGCAGCAGTCACATGGCATGAAGAGAGAGTCTATGTGCTTGCAGAAGGGAGATTGCAGTGATTATAGGACTTTGCATTGAAAATCAGTGCTGCCCTGTCACAGTGGAAACCGACAAAGAACAGAACTCAGCCAAATCCCGCAGAGGGAGCATTTAGATGAACCCTAGACAGGGAAGAATCATCCATCCCAGTGTTTGGAACCTGAGTTCCGGCAAGCCTTGTCATCATGGATTAGAGTGCTCTGTGGTTCTAAATAAACTTCAAAGGTAGTCTAGGCCACAAGGACTGCAGTTCCTTTGCAAGTCCTGGTGCTGTGCCGGGCTCAGAGTCAGTGGACTTGGGATACATACAACCTAGTGAGACATCCGCTGGGGCAGCTAAGGGACTGCTTGTGCTTCCCTTCCCCCAACCCCAGGCAGCACAGCTCACAGCTCCAGGAAAGACTCCTTCCTTCCGCTTATGAAGAAGAGAGGAGACAAGAAAGAGAACTTTGTCTTGCTGCTTGGATACCAGCTCAGACATACAATAGGATAGGGCACCAGGCAGAGTCTTGAGGTCCCCATTCCAGGCCCTAGCTCACAGATAACATTTCTGAACACACCCTGGGCCAGAAGAGAGCCTGTCACCTTGAAGAGAAGGACCCCGTCCTGGCAGAATTCATGACATGCTGACCAAAGGGACCTAGGGCCCTGAATAATCAGCAGCTGTAGCCAGGCAGTACTTGCTGTGGGTATTGGGTGAGACTCAGAGCTGTGATGGTTTCAGGTGTGACCCAGTACATTCCCAGCTGTGGTGGCTACAGGGAGAGAATCCTTCTGCTTCAGGAAAGGAGAGGTGAGAGTAAAGGGGACTTTGGCTTGCAGCTTGGGTTCCAGTTTGACCACAGTGGGGCAGAGCATCAAGTGGGCTCCTAGGGTCCCTGATTCCAGAGTTTGGCTCCTGGATTCCATTTTCTTACTGCCCTGAAGGGAGAGACTCAGGACTGACAGCATTCACCACAGGCTGGCCAAAGTGGCCTTGGCCCTTGAGTGAACATTGGACCTCAGACAGTACTCTCTTTGGTTCAGTAGTCGTCGTGGCCATGAGGAGAGACATCTCTGTTTGTGGAAAGGGGAGAGAAGAGAGGGAAGGACTTTATCTTTTGGGTGGGGTGCCAGCTTAGCCACAGTAGAATAGAGCACCAGGTAGATTTCTTAGGTTCTTGAGTTGATATAGTTTGGACATGTGTGCCTGCTCAAATCTCACGTTGAATTGTAGTAATCTGCAGTGTTTGAGGTAGGGCCTAGTGGGAGCTCATTGGATCATGGGGGCAAATTTTTCATAATTGGTTGCTACTGTCCTTGCAATAGTGAGTAAATTCTTGCAAGATCTGGTTGTTTAAAAGCGTGGCACCCTCCCTCTCACTCTTGCTCCTGCTGTGGCCATGTGATGTACCTGTTCCTCCTTCACCTTCTGCCATAATTGTAAGTTTCCTGAGGCCTCCCCAGCAGCTGAGCAGATGCCAGCATCATATTTCCTGTACAGCCTGTAGAACTGTGAGCCAATTAAGCGTCTTTTCTTTATAAATTACTCAGTCTCAGGTATTTCTTGATAGCAATGCGAGAGTGGCCTAGTACAGAAAATTGTTACCAAGAAGTGGGGCTTTGCTGTCAAGATACTTGAAAATGTAGAAGCTGCTTTGAAATTGGGTAACAGACAGAAGTTGGATGAGTTTGGAGGGCTCAGAAGAAGACAGATGAGGGAAAATTTGGAATGTCTTAGAGACTGGTTAAATGATTGTTACCAAAGTGCTGATACTGATATGCACAGTGAAGTCCAAGCTGTCGAGGTCTCAGATGGAAAGAATGAACTTATTGGCAACTGGAGTAAATGACATGTTTGTTATCCCTTAGCAAAGAAGTTGGCTGTATTATGTCCATGCTCTAGATATCTGTGAAAGTTTGAACTTGAGAGTGATGATCTCGTGTGTCTGACGGAATGAATTTCTAAGCAGCAAAATGTTCAAGACGTTGTGTGGCCACTTCTAACAACCTACTCTCTGATGCAGGAGCAAAGAAATAAGATGGAATATTTATTATTTTATTTTATTGTACTTTAAGTTCTGAGATACATGTGCAGAACGTGCAGGTTTTTTACATATTTATACATGTATATTTAAAAGGAAAGCAGACCATAAAGGTTTTCAAAATTTGCAACATGGATATGTGGTAGAAAATAAAAGCCCATTTTCAGGAGAACTCAAGAAGGCTTCTGAGCAACCACTTGCTAGAAAAATTTGTATACCTACAAAGAAGGCAAGTGCTGATAGCCAAGACAATGGGGAAAAAGGCCTGGAAGGCATTTCAGAGATCTAAAAGGCAGCCCCTCCCATTATAGATCCGGAGGCCTAAGAGGACAGAATGGTTTCCTGGGCCAGGCCCAGGGTCCCAGCTGCCCTGTTCAACCTCGTACACTGTGCCCCCGCCCCAACCCCTCCCCCCCGCACCCAGCGTCCTGGCCACTGTAGCTCCAGCTGTGGCTCAGAGTGGCCCAAGTACAGCTTGGGCCACAGCTCCAGCGGGTACAAGCCATAAGCCTGCAGGTGCACAGAGTGCAAGAGTTGAGGCTTGGGAACATCCATCTAGATTTTAGAGGTTGTATGGAAAAGCCTGGGTTTCCAGGCAGAAGCCTGCTCCAGGGGCAGAACCCTCACAGAGAACTTCTCCTGGGGCAATGCAGAGGGAAAATGTGGGCTTTGATCCCCCACACGTAGTCCCCACTGGGGCATTGCCTAGTGGACCTGTAAGAAGAGGGCCACTGTCCTCCAGACTCCAGAATGGTAGATCCACTGACAGCTTGACCCTTGTATCTGGAAATGAAACACACACTCAGCACCAGACCATAAGAGCAGCTTTGGAAGCTGAACCCTAGAAAGCCACAAAGTTGGAGTCTGCCCAAGGCCTTGGGAGCACACCACTCCCACCAGTTTACCCTGGATGTAGGACATGGAGTCAAAGCAGATAATTTTGGAGTTTTAAGATTTAATGACTACCCTGCTGGGTTTCAGACTTGCATGAGACCTTTCTTTTGACCAATTTCACCCTTTTGGAATAGGAGTGTTGACTCAATGCTTATAATCCCATTGTATCTTGGAAGTAACTAATTGGTTTTTGATTTTACGGGCTCATAGGTAGAAGAAACTTACCTTGTCTCAGATGAGACTCCGGACTTTTGAGTTAATTCTGGAATAAGTAAAGACCTTGGGGGACTGTTTGGAAGACATGATTGTATGTTTAAATGTGAGAAGGACTTGAGATTTGGGAGGGGCCAGGATGGAATAGTATGGTTTGGATGTATGTTCTTGCCCAGATCTCACATTGAATTACAATCCTCACTGTCAGAGGTGGGGCCTGGGTGGGAGCCGAATGAATCATGGCGTTGAATTTCTCATGAATGGTTTAGCACTATCCTCTTAGTGCTGTTTTCATGATAGTGGGTGAATTCTTGTCAGATCCAGTTGGTTAAAAGTGTGTGGTACCCTCCCACTCACCTCTTCCCTGGCCGTGTGACATGACTGCTCCTCCTTCGCAATTTGCCATGATTGTAAATCTCCTGAGGCCTCCGCAGAAGCAGAGCAGATGCCAGCATCATGTCTCAGGGACAACCTGCAGAACCATGAGCCATTTAAGCCTCTTTTCTTCATAAATTACCCAGTATCAGATATTTCTTTATAGCATTGTGAGAATGGCCTAATACATGACCCCAGGCCCTGGCTTACATATAGGATCTTGCAAACCCACCAGGGAAAAATTGCTACCCTGAAGTGAAAAACACAAGCTTCATTGGATTTGCCACCTGCCGATTGTAGAGTCCTTGGGCCCTGAGTGAATGTAGGTGATAGCCAGTCAGTGGTCAGTGTGGGCCTTGATCAAGACCCAGTGTTGTACTGGCTTTAGGAGTGACCCAACACAATCCTAGTCGTGGTAGCTACAGGGGTGCTTGTGTCACCTCTCCTTTAGCTCCAGGCAGCTCATCACAGAGAGAGACTCTCTTTGTTGAGGGGAAGGAAAGAGAAAAAGATTATCTACCAGGTAATACAGGGGATTTTCCTGAATCTTCCCAAAGATCACCAAGGCAGTACGTTTAACAGTCTGCAAGAGTCACAGCATTACTGGGCTTGGGTGCACCCCAGTGCATATATGGCTGCAGTGACCAAAGGAATAAATCACAACACCCAAGAACCTTTAAATACCTGGAAAGCCCTCCTGAGAAGTATGGATACAAACAAGCCGATACTGCAAAGACTACAATAAATACCAAAGTCTTCAATGCCCAGACATTGATGAACATCCGGAAGCATCAAGACCATCCAAGAAAACATGATCTCACCAACTGAACTAAATAAGGCATCGCTGACCAATCTTGGAGAGACAGATATGTGACCTTTCAGACAGAGAATTCCAAATGGCTGATTTGAGGATGCTCAATAAAATCCAAGATAGTACAGAGAAGGAATTCAGAATCCTACACATAAATTTAACAAAGGGATTGAAATAAAAAGAATCGAACAAAAATTCTGGAGTTGAAAGATTTAACTGACATACTGAAGAATGCGTCAGAGACGAGTAACAGAAGAATTGATCAAGCAGGAGAAAGAATTAGCTTGAAGACAAGCTATTTGTAAATACAGTCAGAGGAGACAAAAAAGTCCTAAAAAGTTTATTGAAGAGGGTAATAACACAGAACTTCCCCCACCTAGAGAGAGAGATTAAAATTCAAGTACAAGAAGATAATAGAACACCAAGGAGATATAATATAAATAAGACTACCTCAGGGCATTTAAAAATCAAACTTCCAAAGGTCAAGGATAAAGAAAAGATCTTAAAAGCGGTAATCATATAAAAAAAAAAATCACATAGAAATAGCTCCAGTATGTCTGGCAGCACAATTTTCAGTGGAAAACTTCCAGGCCAGGAGAGTGGCATGATACATTTAAAGTGCTGAAGGAAAAGACTTTTATTCTAGAATAGTATATCTATGAAAATCCTCTTCATACTTGAAGGAGAAATGAAGACTTTCTAAGACAAAGAAAAGCTGACAGATTTCATTAACACCAAACCTTTTCTACAAGAAATGGTAAAGGGCGTTCTTCAATCTTAAAGAAAAGGATGTTAATGAGCAATGAGTCATCATCTGAAGTAACAAAACTCACTGGTGATAGTAAGGTTTGTTACTATTCTGTTACAAAGAGAATATTATAACACTGTGATTATGATGTCTCAACTACCCATATCTTGAGTAAAAAGACTAAAAGACGAACCTATCAAAAATAACTGCAACAACTTTTCAAGACATAGACACTATAATAAGATATAAATAGAAACAACAAAAAGAGTGGGGGGATGAAGTTAAAGTGTAGCATTTTTTTTTTTTTTAGTTTTCTCTTTGCTTATTTGTTTATGCAACCAGTGTTGTCATGAATTTCAAATAATGGATTATAACTTATTCTTTACAAACCTCATAGTTACCACAAATCAAATAATGTACTCAGGTACATAAAAATTAATAAGAATGTATAACATATGACCAGAGAAAATTACTTTCATTAATAGTAAGACAGGAAGGAAAGAGAGAATGAAGAGAAGGCCACAAAACAACCAGAAAGGAAATAGCAAAATGGGAAGTGTTTAAGTCCTTAACGTACCAATGATAACATGGAATGTAAATTGACTAAACTATCCAATCTAAATACATTGAGTGACAGAATGGATAAAAGAATATACAAGACACAATAATCTGTTACTTACAAGAAACACACTTGACCAATAAAGATAAAGATAGACTGAAAATAAAGGGATGGAACAAGTATTCCATGCCAATCGAAACCAAAAAAGAACAGGATTAGCTATTCTTTTATCAGACAAAATAGGTTTCAAGACAAAAACTATAAAAAGGGACAACGCCGGTCATTGTAGAATGATAAAGGGGTCAATTCAGCAAGAGGACATAACAATTGTAAATAAATATGTACCCAACATTGGAACACCCAGACGTATAAATCAAATATTATTAGAGTTAGAGAGATAGACCCCAAAACAGTAATAGCCGGTGATTTCAATTCCCCATTTTCAGCAGTGGCCAGATAGATCATCCAGACATAAAATCAACAAAGAAACATCAGACTTATTATGCAGTGTAGACCAATTTGAACTAATAGATATTTACAGAACATTTTATCCAACAGCTGCAGAGTACATATTCTTCTTCTCAGCACATGGATAATTTTCAAGGACAAGCCATATGTTCTGCCACGAAACAAGTCTTAGAAAATTCAAAAATCAAAATAACATAAATTAGCTTTTCTGATCACAACTGAATATATCAAGATATCAGTAGGAAGAATTTTGGAAACTATAGAGACACATGGAAATTAAACAATATGCTCTTGAATTATCAGTGGGTCAAAGAAGAAGTTAAGAAGGAAACTATAGAATTTCTTGAAACGAATGAAAAAGGAAACGCAATGTAACCAAAACCTATGGGAAGCAGTGAAAGCAGTACTATGAGGAAAGTTTATAGGTATAAATACCTACATCAAAAAAGCAGAAGAACTTTCAAATAATTGAATGATACACCTTAAAGAGCTAGAAAAGAAGGAGCAAACCAAACCCAAAATTAGTATGAGAAAATAAATATTACAGTAAGGAACAGAGCTGAAATACATTAAAGTACAACAAAATGATACAAAAGATCAACAAAACAAAAAGAAGGTTTTTTTGAAAGGGTTGACAAAAATGACAAGTCTTAAGCTTGACTAAGAAAGAATGAGATCCAGTCACTTACAACAACATGGATGGAACTGGAGGACGTTATGTTGATTAAAATAAGCCCGGCACAGAAAAACAAACTTTGCATGTTCTCACTTACTTGTGAGAGCTTAAAAAAAAAAAAAAAAAAAAAAAAAAAAAAAAAAAAATTAAAACAACTGAACTCATGGAGATAGAGACTAGAATGATGGTTACCAGAGGATGGGAATGCTAGTGGGTCGGGGGCAGTGGGGATCATTAATGGGTACAAAAATATAGTTAGATTGAATGAATGTGATGTAGTATTTGATAGCACGACAGGATGATTACTGTCAAACATAATTTGTTGTACGTTTTAAAATAACAAAAAGTATAATTGGAATGTTTGTCACATAAAGAAATGATAAGTGCTCGAGGTGATGGATACCCTATTAACCCTAATGTCATATTATGCCTGTATGCCTGTATGAATATGTCTCTTGTATCCCATAAATATAAACACATACTATATACCCAAAAAAATAAAAATTTAAAAAATAGGGTATTGTGGTTTCTATCATTAAAGTAAACATCATGCTAAGAACAATTGTCTCAAGAGTAACAACTGTAATTTTCGTTTTGGTGAAAATAATAAAATTATTAATGACAATCTCTGTATAAAATTCCACCAAATGAACTTCTGTTTTCTATTTTTTTAATATTTATAATCAGTGCCATAAATGACTTTATAATAGATATAAAGTTAATCTCTAAAAAGTTAATTTTAGTTCAGGCAATATTGCATGATTGTGAAGCAGGCCCCGGAGCCAAACTACCTGAGTTCCCACTTTGTCACCTTCCCTTGTTTGCGTTTTGACCCAAGTAAGCCTTTGTTTCCCCACCTGTAAATTGGGGCTAATATCAGTTGCTGAATCAATAGGATTAATTACAATAATACCTCTTTTTTTCTGACACACAATTATTATTTTGTATTTAAAAATTATATTTAAAAGCCCCAAATTCTACAAGATCAAAATTACTCTTTAGTAAGTCTTCTTTTTTATTTGTAATTTCTGGGGGTACATAATAGATATTTTAGTACTTGTGGAAGTCATTTATAAATAAGTAAACGCATGTTTGTGCATCCTGATCCTTTGTCTCCATGTTACCTCTGTGCATCTGGTTCATGTTAACCCTAACAAGTCATGTTGTCTGGATACAGCTTTCCAGGTATTTGCCACTTGTGAGGACCCAAGGGCTAAAGTAAAAATTATGGCTGTGTCCTGGGGCGGGGGGGGGGGCGGGGAAGAGGCACAATCGTTCTCAACCCTGGATGTTCATTCGAATTACCTGGTTGGATAGTTTTTTACAGAACCAATACCTGGGCTCCATTCCCAGATATTCTGATTGAATTGTTGGGGAATGGGGCTGGGACGTCATTTTGAAAAGTTCTCTCAGTGATTCTAATCAATTAGTACCTTTTTATATTAAGGCATTATTTATATAAATTCCACTAATTCACCTATCTGTGATAGTTTGAATAAAAGCCGGACTTAAACATTACCTCAATTAATAACTTTCTGTTTTTTAACCTATCTTGGATTTCTTTTCTTTTTTCTCTCCCTCTTTTATTATTATTATTATACTTTAATTTCTAGGATGCATGTGCACAACTCGCAGGTTTGATACATAGGTATACATGTGCCATGTTGGTTTGCTGCACCCATCAGCTCATTTACATTAGGTATTTCTCCTAATGCTATTCCTTCCCCAGCCCCCAATACCTTTCTTAATAGAGAATGAAACAAAAGCTGAAACAAAGTTGATTTTAAAAATTACTTATTTAAGCAGATGACAGCATTCTAGAAGCATCTAGTTGCATATAAAGAATTGTTAAGCTAAAACCAAAACTAATCTATCTATAAGAACCACCTTGCTAGAATTTTTGAGCCATCGTTTTGTTATTTTTATCTATTTTTTTAAGACGGAGTTTTGTTCTTTCACCCAGGCTGGAGTGAAGTGGTGTGATCTCAGCTCACTGCAACCTCTGTCCCCCCGGGTTCAAGTGATTCTCCTGCCTCAGCCTCCTGAGTAGCCGGGATTAAAAAGTGCTTGCCACCACGCCCAGCTAATTTTTGTATTTTTAGTAGAGATGGGGTTTCTATTGGCCAGGCTGGTCTTGAACTCCTGACCTCAGGTGATCCAGCCACCTCGGCCTCCCAAAATGCTGGGATTACAGGCCTGAGCCACTGTGCCCAGCCTGAGCCATCATTTTGAATAAGTAAATAAATCAATTCCAATTTTCATCAGTACAATTTTAGTTTCTAAATGGCGTGCATTTAAAAGTAAAAACATGCATTAAAAATTAAGTTTCTCTAATTTGTACTGGTATCTTTCCCTTAAATCATATTATACAGGTTTTATTTCTGACTTAAATCATGTAATTGTATTTTACATGTAAGACATGTCAATTGAACATCACTGGTAGTTCTTTTCTAATCTAGACTTTCATTATAATACATTACCTCCTTTTATTAGGTGTATTTTTTTAAATTGAGGATTGCATATATGCCAGTAACTGTGAATTCTAGGGAATTGGGCCTGAGAGCCTGTCTTCCTAAAGAGCTCACACCTCTTGGTAATTTGTAAGTTTTAATTGTAGTCCTCTAGGTTTTATAAAGTCTATCCATTTATGCCTTTATTAGTTAGTGCCTAGCATATGATTATGTTTTCATAATATATGTTTATACATTTTATAATGTATTTCCATAAAGCACAAAAAATGCTATTAGGACCATCAAATACAGGCTGAAATTAATGAAAACATGTACTATTTTGCATTTATAAATTTGTATATGGAAAATGAAAATTTTAAAAAATGCTATTAATGTTTATTGCTAGATTGCTAAACTTAGGATGTCATTCCTCATAGACATTGGAGGACAAAATAAATTGGTATGGATAAGTACTTGCAAATAAGGATTCACGGATATTGGTAATCTAATTATCTGTCGGTTTATAGCTGTGCTGTCCAATATTGCAGCCGCTAGCTATGTGTAGGTAAATTATAATTATTATAATTAAATATAGTTAAAAATTCAGTTTCTGAGCCTTACTAGCCATACATATTTCAAGTGTTCATTATTCCCACCTGACTAGTGTCCATTATATATGTATACCTATAGTGCACACATAGAATATTTACATCATTTTAGTAAGTTCTGGACAACACTGGTTAAAGAATAATTGCCTTCCTACATTCTTTCTTTTTTGTTTTTTGAAACGGCGTTTCACTCTGTCACTCAGGCTGGAGTCTAATGGTGCGAACTCAGCTCACTGCAACCTCCGCCTCCCGGGTTCAAGCAATTGTCCTGCCTCAGCCTCCTGAGTAGCTGGGACTACAGGCATGTGCCACCACTCCCGGCTAATTTTTGTATTTTTAGTGGAGATGGGGTTTCACCATGTTGGCCAGGATGCTTTCGAACTCCTGACCTTGTGATCCGCCGCCTCAGCCTCCCAAAGTGATGAGATTACAGGCGTGAGCCATCGCACCCAGCCGCCTTCCTACATTCTAACAGAGTTTCTGTAAAGCAAAGCTGGCATTCCCATTGAATTCCTTTATGTTCATACAGATACGTTTTCATGTCCGGGGGTGGGATGACAGCTCTCGAGTAAAATCATTTGAAAAATACTACGTCTTAGAATGCCATTTACTGCAAATGACAAAAAGGCCAACTCAAAGTGACTTATACCATTGCTCCTTAAAATGTGATTAATGGATCCGAAGCATTGATATCCCTTGGGCAGTTGTTAGAAATGCAGAATCTCAGGCCCCAACCCAGGCCTACTGACTTAGAATGCATAGTTTGACACTCTCCAGGTGATTCATATGTACATTAAAGTTTGAGAAACACTGGGCACAATCATAAGGATGTCTGTTATCTAACAATATATCAAAAATGTCGTTGACGCTAGAGACCATTAGGTCTGTAACTCTATGTTGCCAAAGTTCCAAGTTCTTACAACTTATCTGTTTTGCTAGCCCCTCTCTATTCTCAGATGATCTGAACGATTGGAAGTTTACCGTAGCAGTTCCTAGTATCATGTCCTGATATGCTTTTGCCTATACCTACTGTCAGGACCAACTCCTGCCCTATACTACTTTATTCTAATTCCACTCCCTCGGCTCTCTATTGCCAGTCATATATGTATACTCCATTCACCTTTTGCTTTTACTTTCCCGTCTAAATGACGACTTGAAGGATATAAAATGAAACCTGGAAAAATGCAAACATTTTTTCCTATCTGTGCATGGTAGATTTTTATTTTGTGACTTTGACAATTTTTCCAAATTTATTTACATCTTTAGAATGTTAGCTGGAAATAAGAAACTCCTGTCTCATTTTCATCATGTTTTAAATTGAACTATATGAAGCCATTTTCATCAACAAAGAAATTGAAATATCAGAAATTTCATATGATCTAATACAATATTTTGCCCATGAAAAAAATAAAATAGTGCACAGTCTTGGGTCACACAGGGTTTGTGATTTCTATACTGGCTTCACATGCCACTGTGCCAGCTCTTTAACCTACCACTATCCTCAGAAATAAAATAACAGTAGCTAGGTGCGGTGGCTCACGCCTGTAATCCCAGAACTTTGGGAGGTCGAGGCAGGAGGATAGCTGGAGACCAGGAGTTCAAGACTAGCCTGGGCAACATAGGGAGACCACATCTATACAAAAAGAGTTAAAAATTTGCCAGGGAAGGTGGTGCACCTGTAGTCTCAGCTACTCAGGAGGCTGAGGCAGGAGGATCATTTGGGCCTGGGAGGTCAAGGCTTCAGTGAGTTATGATTGTGTCACTGTACTCGAGCCTGGGTAACAGAATGAGACCCTGTCTCAAAAAAAAAAAAAAAAATACTAGTATTATAAATCTTTACCTTGGCAAGGTTATGTTAAAAAAAGTTGAATAAATGTTAGCCAGTGTATTTTACAACTAATATTAATGACATTTTAACCCAGAGGTTAACCTCCCCACTCCCTGAAGTCACCCCTTTATTTAAACCATCTTTGGGAAAAAGGACATTTGTGTCATGAAGGCTGTTAAACTCACCTTCTGATATCAGTGCCTCCTTCAATTTTGCTTCTTCCTCTGGTTCAGCCTTGCAATGGACCACTACTCACTTCCTTGCTAATCACCCAGAAAACTCTGGCCTATAATTCACCTGCACTTTACTGATGCTCTTTTCACAGGCCTCAGTGAAGGAAGGAAGCGTCCTCTTCATTACTAGTTATTTCAATCTTTAGAGTTTTTCACATATCAGTACTGTAATAAAGCCCTTCCTTACTTTACTGAAGGGCATACTTGGGCATTCTGAGTCTGATACCCTTTGATACTTCCCTGCCAGTGTCACATAAATCTATATCTTCTGAGTTTTAGCAGTAGTAACTAATAGATCGAACACATACCTTAAGTAGACTAGCAGTGGTTTTCAAATAAATAATATTCTTACCTGGAATGTTGTCATTCAAAGTGTGATCCATGACCCAGCAACATTGGTTTCACCTGGAAGCTGGTTAGAACTGAATTCTTCGACCCAACCCCGTGAATTTAAATCAGAATCACCAGGTGGGCTGTATCCATATTTAAGTTTGAGAAGCTGTGATCAAGACCCCGGGGGGCACCAAATCCAAATGCCTATTGTAGAAGCCAGAAACATAACATAAGGAAGTGAGATGAGTTGCGTATAAAAAAGGATAGGGAGTGATGAGGACTACAGCAAACTGGAGAGCTTATACTTTGTATATGAAGTATAATTGGATGCGAAGTATAATTGGATGTGAAGTATAATTGATACTCAATTTTGTCCTATAGGAAGGAAGGTTTAGGGTTGCTGAATCCTATTAAATATGATCAAGAGTGGTCAGATTTGATATTTGTAGCTAATATCTCAAATTTTAACTACTGGCAAAAATTTCAATTTATTTTCAATTAGTATGAGACCAAATCCAGCATATGGACTACTATTTGCTAATATCTAGTCAAGGCCTGTAGTAAGGAAAAGAAATATTTTCTCAATTAAAACATCTCAGAATCCTTTCCAACAATGGGATGAATGCTTTTTGTTTTCGTGCTTATTAGTATCACACCTCCACAATCCTTAGGTTCTTCTGTTTTCAAACTTGTTCTGAGGTTAATTTCATGCTTCAGACACATGAAATCCTGCTTTTTGGAGCCTCAGGTAGAACCCATTCTTTGGCAGTTGGCAGTCACACTTCTCTCTGTAAGTGGAGGTGAAGTCAGGAAGAGAATGTAAAAGTCTCATGTCAAAATAATTCATAGTAATCTCCTGGGGATTGGCAGTTGTCCTCCTATTAATGTTAATATCTTGGTCTCTGCAGAATTTGGGTGAGTTGTGTTTGTAGAATAAAGTTACCTAGAGCAGTAATTTTCAAGTGTGAGTATGCATCAGTCACCTGGAAGTCCTGTTAAAATACACATTTCTAGACCTCATCCCAGAGTTTCTGATTCAGTAAGTGTGAGTCTTGCACACACTTCTAGCAAGTTTTGAATTTGCACTTCTAGCAAGTTTCTAGGGGATGGGCTGATGCTGTTGGTCCAGGGTCCAGTAACCACACTTTCAGAACCACTAATGAAGAGAGAAAAAGCAGGGCTCTATTTGGCTGGGAGACATTGATGTGACTGTACCAGTCATTAAAATATTGAGCCATCCCGTTTGCACACACCCAGCCATTCTGGTCCCTACCCCAAAAATCCCCAACCAGATGTTTCTGTATCCCACTTATAAAGAGAAAACACCTGGCTGGGTTCGGGGACTCGCGCCTATAATCCCAGCACTTTTGGGAGGCCAAGGGGAGAGGATTGCTTGAGCTAAGGAGTTGAAGACCAGCCTGGGCAACATAATGAGACCTTGTCTCTATTAAGAGAAAAAAAAAAAAAGAAGATAAAACACTTATGTGTACATCTCTTCTTATTGGTCAATCTCTGAGTCCAAGTTTGTAAAATGAAACCACGATAGAACATGAAAGATTACTGGGTGTTCAAATTTCAGATTTGGGGCAGAGCTCAAGAAATCTCTGTGGACCCACAGATTAAGGTAGGCTATGATACTGTACAACCATCCTGCACCTTGTGCGATCAAGCTGCACTGGATTTCCGGTTCCTCTGTGATGTGACAGGGCCTTTCACAGGTCTTTCTTTCCGTCTAGAAAGAGTTTATACCTTCTTTTTCACTACTTCTGACTTCAGTCTTCACAGTTGTCCAGTACTGCACTAAAGGCCCCCCTTTACAGACTCAATTCAATTGCTCTCATTTCATAGTATGATCACATTATAACCAACTAATGGCCTGTTGAGCTATATGTATTATCTGTGGCCCTCACCCGCCATCCATATAAACTCCAAGATAGCAAGGGGCTGTGTTGGTCTTCCTTGCCTCTCCATCCGTAGTATCCAGGTACTCAATAATTGTATATTTCGTAAATTAATGAATGAATTTTTCAAGTCTCAACTCTTAGGCTGTGTGTTCTGCGAGGACACTGTTCCCAATGACTGCAGGTCAATTTGTATCCTCTCCTTACTCCCTCAGGAATGTATATAAATCTAATTATAATGGATTTCTTATATTCTAATTATTTTTGTATTTATGTCTCTAATAGTCTCTAAGCTACTTGAAATTGAAGATAGGTATTTTGTCCATTCCTAACAAATATGAGTTTCCTGCATAGATATGAAACTCAGTAAAGATTTGTTGAAGGAAATGTCTGTCCAAAAGCAAAAAGTAAATGATGCTTTCAAATACTAGCAACTTTCAGTTTTTGCTTCCACTTAAATGGATATCTCATCTCTGTTGTTTCTCATAAAAATAAAATGTCTACTTTTTGTGTTTGATAAATGAAAGTTTATTCTCATAACTTCTGATTGCAATGTTCCTCATGGTAAATGTGTCTCTAAAATGTTAAAAGTCAATAAATAGTGCAATCTAAATTATTGTAAACACTCTCAAAAGGAATATGAAATGCATATTGGAAGAAAGCTCTGATAACAACCCCAATACTTCGGACCAGCTATGGAGCCATTATCTTTTATATTTTATTTTACTGGTTTACTTCCCCTGTTTCCCTGTAATTTTATATGAAGAGTGTGAGTGGTATGTAACATTACATACAGGTTCCATGTTGGGGTTTAAATAGCCTGGCATTAGTGTATGAGGATAAAGATGCTGATGGAATTTTGTATCCTTTTGTTTTAAATACACTTATACTAATTTAAGTATTTTGATAGTTACTCTGTTTAGCAGATTCATTTCACTTTTCTCCTTCTTGCTCTGTTCAAAGAGGATGAAGTCTAGATTTTCTGTTACCCAGGTTCCTCTTGGCCTTTGGTTGCTAAAGTACTTCAGCCAATGGGAGGCACTGGCAAGAGGGTGAAAGCAGAGATTGTGGTACTTTTCTCTTCCTCTTCTGTTTCTTACTGTGGAGTGGCTGGAATTGTGTTCCTCTTAAACTACAGCTACTGTTGGACAGCTCTTGTTCCATGTCTCTAATTCTCACTGAGCTCCGGCAACAGCTCTCTTCCTTTTTTCTTCCAGTTCCGGGGATGCTAGGTCAGTTGTCTTTGTTGTTAGGTCCTGGCTCCTTCACTATCGTTTATTATTTTTCCCCCGACCCTTCACATAAATGTGTAAGTAGTCTACTGAGCGAAACATATTTGAGTGTGTTCTATCTTTCCTGCCAATAGTATGCAGCATCCACACACACACTCAACAGACCCAACTTTTATATTTTATTGTTTGAAATGCTATCAATTTCTAAACATTGCTTTTTAAACCCTACTTTAAATTGACAGATAAAATTGTATATTCATCATGTACAACGTGATGCTTCTGAGTAAATATATATTGTGGAACAGTTGAATCTAGCTAATTAACATATGCATTACCTTACATATTTATCATTTTTATGGTGGGAATATTTAACGTCCTCTCTCTCTACATTTTTCAAGAGTATATTTTCATTAGCTGTAGTCACCATGCTGTAAAATACATCACTTGAATATTTTGACTGTGACTATATATCCCTTGAAAAGTATCTCCATACCTCCCCCTTCCCCATAACCACCTCAGCCTCTGGTAACCACTATTCATTCCCTACTTCTGTGGGATCAGCTCTTTTAGATTCCACATATAAGTGAAATTAGGCAGTGGTTTTCTTTCTTTACTGGCTTATTTCACTTAACATAATATCCTCCAGGTTCATCCATGTTGTTGCAAATGACAGTATTTTATTCTTTTTTATGGCTGAATAGTATTCCATTGTATATATGTATACCACATTTTCTTTATCCGTTCATATGTTGGTGGATATTTGGATTGATTCCATATCTTGGCCATGAATAGTGCTGCAATAAAAATGGTAGTGCAGATATTTCTTTGACATACTGATTTCATTTCCTTTGTATATATAATTCATAGTGGGATTTTGTATCATATTGTAGTTTTGTTGTTCATATTTCAAGGAGCCTTCATACTGTTTTCCATGATGCCTGTACTGATTGCCATTCCCATTTACAGTGTGTAAAGGTTTTCTTTTTTTTAATTAGTAATTTTTAACTTTTGCAGGTACGTAATACATGCCTTTTTCCTAAATCGTTATCAACATTTATCTTTTTTTGTTTTGGATAGTAGCCATGCTAACAAAAGTGAGGTGATAATCTCTTCTTTTTTCTTTTGACAAAGATATCGTTAATTACTATTATATTTTAACTTTTAGGTGCAAGGGTACATGTGCAGTTTTGTTACATGGGTAAACTTGTGTCATGGAAGTTTATTGTACAGATTATTTCATCACCAGGTATAAGCTTAGTACTCATTAGTTATTTTTTCCTAATTCTTTCCTTCTGCCACCCTCCAAACTCCAATAGGCCCCATGTCTGTTGTTTCCCTCTATGTGCCCATGTGTTCTCATCATTTAGCTCCCACTTATAAGTGAGAACGTGGTGTATTTGGTTTTCTGTTTCTGCGTTATTTTGCTAAGGATAATGGCCTCCAGCTTCATCTACGTTTCTGCAAAGAACATAATCTTACTCTTTTTCATGGCCGCATAGTATTCCATGGTATGTGTTTACCACATTTTCTTTATCCAGTTTACCACTGATAAGCATTTAGGTTGATTGTCTTTGTGATTGTGAATAGTGCTGCCACGAACATATGTGTGCATGTGTCTTTTTGGTAGAATGATTTATATTCCTTTAAGTGTATACACAATAATAGGATTGCTGGGTCCAATGGTAGTTCTGTTTTGAGGTCTTTGTGGAATCACCACACTGTTTTCAACAATAGTTGAAATAATTTACACTCCCACAAACAGTGTATAAGTGTTCCCTTTTCTTTGCAAGTAAGCTGATACCTCATTGTGGTTTTAATTTGCATTTCCCAGATGATTAGTGCTGTTGAGCATTTTTTCATATCTGTGTTATCCATTTGTCCCTTTTATGATAAATGTCTATTTTGGTCTTTTGCCTATTTTTAATCAGGTTATTTGTTTTCTTGCTATGGAGTTGGTTGAATTTCTTCCATATTTTTATATGAACCCCCATCAGATATATAGTTTGCAAATATTTTTCTCATTCTATTGGATATCTCTTTACTCTGTTAATTTTTAATTTTAATTTTAATTTTTTTGCTGTGCAGAAATTTTTAGTTTGGTATAAGTCCTCAGTCTATTTTTGCTTTTGTTGCTTGTGCTTTTACAGTCATATTCAAAAGTTATTGCCCAAATAATTGTGATGAAGCTTGTCCTCTATGTTTTCTACTAATAGATTGAGAGTTTTGAGTCTTAAATTTAAGTTTTTAATCCATTTCAAATTGGTTTTTGTATGTGGCAAGGGATAAGGGTCTAATTTCATTCTTCTGCATGTAGATTCTTACTTTTCCTGGTAGCATTTGCTGAAGAGGGTGTCCTGTCCTCACGGTGTGTTCTTGACACCCATGTCCAAAATCAGTTGAATGCAAATGCATTAATTTATTCCTGGGTTCTCTATTATGTTCCACTGATCAGTTTTTATGCTAATACAATGCTGTCTTGGTTACTATGGCAGAATTTCTTCTAGTTGCGTACTTTGACCTTAGTGGGAAATAAAAAACATCCTTCCAAAGAACCATATTATTAGTGTTTCCATATTGATCGAGTATCTTCTGTTTTTTTTATTGGTTAACACTATCATATATGGGTATACTAAGAGACTCCTGGCAAATGCCCATAGTTTTCTAATGTAGTACTACTTGCCCCGCATTGTATTGGGTGAACTCAGTTGACCATTTGTGCTTAGGTTCTGTATGGTAACCCCTTTCTCTGTCTGTGGATTCAGCAGCATGAGGAGCCAAACATGAACAGCGGTCATCTCAACTTCTAGTTTAAAGAAATCATTTTTGAGTTTCTTATAACTCAAAATGTTGAAGAGGTAGTTCAAAAAAAAGTTGAAGAGGTAGTTCACAGATAAGGAACAGAAGTCACAAGGTGGAGAGAGATGGATAAATTAATATTAGGTTAATACAGATGAGATAATTATATATAGAAGTATTTATGGGTGAGTACACACTCACACATCCACTTCTTTATGTCAACCCAGAGGTCCTGTAAGCTACAACACCCTAGAAGCAAGGAGCATACCTAGCAACAGGATCTTGGGTTTCAGTAACATTCTTTAAAGAAAAAAAAAAAAAAAAAAAAAAAAAGGAACCAGAACACTGTGGAGAAACAGCTGATTCTAACACTAGGAAAGGGAATATAGAAAATGAGCCTGGAACATTTGGTAGTGCCAGATAGTAAGAACATGCTAAACTCCACGGTCTCGCTCTAAACAAAAAACACTGATGGGATGTGTCAAAGAAGCCAACTAAGAGACTTCCCAATGTCCAAAGCTGGAACTATTTGAGCAAAAATCCAAAGCAAAAACTAGTATTGGATTTAGCCCAAAGTATCAAATAACTATACATGAGTCCATGCTATGTAAATAAATAATTTCATAAATAAATGGAGGAATAGAGACAAATCTCCAATGCAGAAAAAACTCCAAAAACTTATGTAACTTCTCTGCCCTCACGGAGAGGGAATGTAACTCCCCACTCCACAGGGGCTGTGTATAGTGACTTTCTTATTAAAAAACAGTGTGAAAAGAGGGGGAAAGAGTAACTTTATAGTGGATAAACATGACACCTATTACTTTAGCCAGGTGGTCACATTTAACATTGATAAGTCACGTTGAGGGTATATATGCTTTATAAAATGTGCTTAAAATGGCCCATTACTTCTGTGGTCTTTCAAAAACCCCAGTTTAATTATGAGGAAAAAAAATCAGACAAATCCCCACTGAGAGGCATACTACAAAATACCAGCCTGGCCAGCACTTTTAAAAACTGCCAGAAAAATTCTGAGAAACTGTCATAGCCAAAAGCAGATTAAGGAAACAGGACAATTGAGTGTAATATGGAATCCTTGGAGAGATACTGAAATACAAAAAATAGTTTAAGGAAATCAGAATATAATAATAGTCTCCAGCTAATGCACAAATATTGGTTCATTAATTGTAAGAGATGTTCCATAATAACATAAGATGTTAATAAAACGGGAGACTGAGTGCAAGTTATATGATAACTCTTTGTATTATAATCTCATTAATTTTTCGTGAATCTAAAACAGCCAAAAAATTAAATCTGTTAAAAAACACTCTCAGCTATGTGTGCACTTTGTGTGTTTAAATGTGATGATTAATGGAAACTTCCAGTAAAGATTTTAGAGTAAAATTATGTATTCAAAATAACATATTCCTAATTCAAATTATAAGATCAATGTTCAGAATATAGTTTTGAAAAATGCTTTAAACATGATGTTTATAAAGAGTATTTCCTTTAAAATAACCATCAGCACTTCTCATTTGCATCTCAAATTTTGGTTGAATTAATGAATGAACAATAATGTGTTTTCATCCTCAACATAAAGTTGTGTAATTAATAGGCAAAACATTATCCCATGTCCCTGATGCTGGAAATGTAATTGAGAACGTTTAAGAACCTGGTTGTAGAGCTTACCGCTGGGCTGTGAACCTAGGCCTTTGGACTTTAAATTCATTACCCAGCCCACTATTTTCTATATCTTTGTGGGGAAAAAGCACCCTTTCTCTAGTCTATTTGTGTGTATCAAATGACGTCCAAACTTAATGGGTTAAAACAATTTATAATTGCGTCATGATCTGAAGACCGAGAATATAAGCAGGGCTCAGCCAGGTTGTTTTTATATTACTAGTTTTATAGCTGGGGGTCACCCCTTGGGCTGTGCTGAGCTGGAAGCTCACTTCTAATACAGTATTTTATCCTGCAGAATCACTCCTATATGGTCTCTAATGATTCGGTAGTGTAGCCTGGCCTCCTTTACAGCATGGAATCTAGGCTTCAAGAGAGGAAGAAATACAAATGCTGCCAGTTCTTTTATAGCCTACACTTGGAATTGGTGTGGTGTCAGTTATGCCACATTCTGTGGTCAAAAAAAAAAACACAAGTCCAGATCATATTCACAGGGATGGAAAATAGACCTCATCTCTTGAAGGGAAAAGTGACAAAGAATTTGTGGCCATCTTTAACCACCACACATACTAAATAATGAGAATGTAAACGAACAACTGCCAAAATATACTACTTAGTCAATTATCAGATGCTTTGCACTTCAGTTAGCATGTTCACATTTAGTTGACTATGTGAAAGTTTTTAGAAATCAGGATTTGTGAACTATTATAAGTCTGAGAAATAATAGTTCCGGGGTGACTGATAGTGGGCTTTACTTACATCCTTCTCAATGTCCAATAGATGCCCCCAAATGCGAACATTCCATATATTATAAATTCTATTGTTTTACATTGTGATGTTCAGTAATAAGTTGCTTTCAAAGAGGTCATAATAGGCTTCTTTCAAATTTTCAGTTTACATAGAGTTTTAATGGATCTCCAGAATCAGAAACTGAAAGAGTTGAATGACTGGCTAACAAAAACAGAAGAAAGAACAAGGAAAATGGAGGAAGAGCCTCTTGGACCTGATCTTGAAGACCTAAAACGCCAAGTACAACAACATAAGGTAGGTGTATCTTATGTTGCGTGCTTTCTACTAGAAAGCAAACTCTGTGTATAGTACCTATACACAGTAACACAGATGACATGGTTGATGGGAGAGAATTAAAACTTAAAGTCAGCCATATTTTAAAAATTATTTTTACCTAATTGTTTTTGCAATCTTTGTTGCAATGGCTTGAATAAGTCCCCTCCAAAATTCAGGTGATTGTATTAGGAGATGGAATATTTAAGGGTGAATAATCCATCAGGGCTCCTCCCTTAAGAATAGGATCAAGTCCCATATAAAAGAGGCTTCACACAGTGTTCTCCTATCTCTTGACCCTCCACCATGCACCACCATGTGAAAACTCTGTGAAAAGGCCCTCACCAGATGCTAACATCTTGATCTTGGATTTCCCAAACTCGAGAACTGTGAAAAAATAAAGGTACATTCTTCCTAAATTACCTCATTCTCAGTTATTTTTGTTACAGCAGCACAAAATGGATTAAGACATTTGTTGTTGTTTTTTTAAAAAATACAGCATAGCTAGGCTTTTCGTATTTGGAAAAGAAATCAAACATATTTGTGGATGAGAACAACGCAGGGTATGTGATTTATTAAAAATTTGCTTTCCTGGAAGACAGACTTCATAGGGATTACTTGTAATGCAAATTTAAATAATAAGGCTACGATTTTTTTTAATGTAATTTTACATTCAATTTATAGTAAATTGAAGCTGGCCAAGCTTGATGATAAATGAGAGTCTGAAGCATTGCTTTTCTATAGAATATGACATTTTTTAAATGTTAATATTTCCATCTTTTTTCTTCAGTTTACTTGTACATTTCCAGTTATGCTCCCTCGCTGCCAGAAAGCATTTTTTTTTGTTTCTGTTATTGAGACTTCTACAATAATATTTCTTATCCAAAATTATGAGGGTGCTTTATTTTAATAAGTGCCATAAAATATTACAATTAGCTCTGAGTTTTATTGTTGAAATAGGCTCCTGCTCAATTCATGAGGAAACACACACACACACAAGATCCTTTGTAATTGTCCCAGGATTAGGGTTGCCACATTTAGCAGACACAAATAAAAGAAGCCTACTTAAATGTAAATTTCAGATAAACAACAAATAATTTTCTTAGTGTGTGTCCCAAATTGTTCATTGTTTATCTGAAATTCACATTTTGCTGAGTGTCTTTTATTTTATCTGGCAACTCTACTTATGATCTGTGGTTTTTGGATTTATGGCTTTGAATAGGAATATCTGCTCCTTTACCTCATACCTTCGAAATCTGCCTTTTGTCAAACTTAATTCTCTCTTTTTATAATATTCAGTCATATATAGCTTTACAGTTCTTCCATGCAAATGAAAGATACATTTATTTCTAAGTTCTAGAGTTTTTTTTAAGTTTAATGAGCTTCAGTTTTGAATGACAAATGGGGCCAGCCCTTACTATTATTGACCCCCAGGAGTCCTCTAAGATCTAGCATTTAAGAAGAACTGTAACTATGGTAATCCCCGTCTGCTATGCCATCAGGAAAAAAACATCAACTGTATTGCAATTATGTAGAAATTGTAACTGTGATTACTTGTCATATAGATACTAATTGAGCACCTGAAGAAGAAGTTAGGTACAGTGCTAGTTCTCTAACCGTACCGCTTTTCCGATGTGGCACATTTGCTTCTCTCGTTGACACTATATCTGCCCTCTTTCCCTTGGCCTACACTGGAAGTTACATGCAGAAAGTGTCTATATAAACCAGGGGTGTCCAACCCGTTGGCTTCCCTGGGCGACATTGGAAGAATTGTCTTGGGCCACACATAAAATATACTAACACTAATGATAGCTGGTGAACTAAAAGAAATAATTGAAAAAATATTTTAAGAAAGTTTACAAATTTGTGTTGGGCCACATTGAAAGCCATCCTGGGTCATGGATTGGACAAGGTTGATGTACAGCAATGGCTTCTCTCTACCGGAGGGTATTTCTGGTGCAGAACCATTTCAGCCAGTTTGAAGGTGGACAGGAAGTGGAATTAGTGCCACCAGAGCTGCCCTTAGCCAATGAGGAGTAAAAGTTGATAGAGAAATCCTGTAGAATCTTTGTCCCATAGTGGGACATTTCTAAGGTATATTCTCCACAGTCTTTCAGAGATTCCCCAGTAAGACTGAGCTCCAGGTATCCACAGGGTAACTTCCTGAACGTCCCCGTGCTCTCATAATGCCTTACGAGTTCACCCTCCAAATAAACCATTTATTTGTTCACAAATCTTTTGTTCAGGATGTGTTTTTGGAGGAATCTAACCCAAGACAAACTTCTCCCACTAGAAGCCAGAATTCGAGCTCCAGTTCTACCACTAACTAAATTGTCATTTTCCAAACATCACTTAATGTCCCAGGTTCTCTGTATCTTTACTTTGGAAATAAAAGAGTGAGTTTGTTTCTAGTGTTCCTTCCAGTCACAGTTTAAATGTGTCCAATACTTTTGGAAGTTGAAGTATTTTAGAAAAGGCCAAGATTAGGCCACGTAACACTGAACATCAGAAGGCAGGACACTGCTGCTGGATGCCTGGAGTGTAAAGCGAAATCCAGGGAGAAGAGCTCCAAAAGAGCAGTAGAAGAAGAATGTTAGCATAGCTAAGTACGGATAACCTAGGGCAGCTATGAAGGAAGTTCTTAGCTTGGGACGCTGAACAGACTCTTCATTAAGGTGAGACAAGCTATCCAGGATCTTAATATTCTGCCAGGTACCTGAAATGTTTTGTAGTTTTTTCTGAAAGATATAATGTGAATGAAATGGAAAACGTTTGACAAATATTGTCATAAAATTTAAATATATTATTCATTACTTGAAAGTATGCCATTTCTAATGACTATGAAATTGCCTTGAAGAAAAAATGTGAAACAAAAGAAGGCAACAGGAGTATATGCAAGTTGATTATGTAACATTTTACCTCCAGGCATTATTTATTTATTTAAAGGGCATAAAGAGGCCAGAAGGCATTGGTTTTCTGGCTCAGAGAGTAAGGCCAACTCCTACTTTTAACTATTTGAGCACTCTTTTTTTTGACAGATTTGACAATATTTTTTGAAATATTTGACAGATTTTTTTTTTATAAAAATTAAGGGAAAGATTCATATTCAAGTCCTGAATATTGATAATGCTCTTTTGTTTCTTGGCAACAATTTTGGCGAGAAGAAGGTGACTTAACATCAAACAATTTAGCAAAGAGTTGACTTTATTTAAACCTGAAACATGTACATTATATTGTCTTTTAAGACTAAAAGGAGCATACATACAGAATTAAAGGAACACTGTTTTGTTAGTCTTGCCACACTTCATAAAACAAAAGAAAATAAATGTTACTTCTTTGGGTAACTGAGTTCAAACTAAAGCCTTATTTATATAGTCGTTGAATCGCTTTGCAGCTTTTTTTCCCAAGAATTGTAAATCATTGAAAGTAAGGAAATTTCTCCTTCTGACAACAAAATGCATCAGTAACCTTAGAGTCCCCACAAAAGCAACTCCCATCTGCTGCATCACCAAACTTCTAACCTAATATAATATTTATTTTTAGCTTTGTGTAGATAGACATTAAATCCTTGTGCCATCACCATTTTTTCTTAAAGATGATTGCAGATGACAAAATTAAAGAAAAGATACAGATTTTATTGCTGGGAATTGATTTAAATTCTGCTCAGATCAGAGGTCGCCTGCTCTCTCTCTCTCAACTGGAGGGCAAGATTAAAATGTTTGCAAATCTTGCAAGTACACTGTGAATATTACAGATATGCTTCTGTATATTCTGTGACAGGATCCTTTGCTATCTTCATTTCAACAGCATTTTATTATGAGGCAGGCTAGAAATTCAGACACTGTGAAATGTCAGGAAGATAAGTCACTTTTACTGAACCTGGCAATTAGGTAAGGTAAAGCAATTGATCCTATATGGTGGTTACTATTAAATCTAGCCAAACTCTTTACTCTGGGTAACCAAGAAAAGTTCAATTGGCTGCACCATTTGGGAGAAACCACTCATCCTTCATAGACATTGCTGTAGGGAGAGAATTTAGAGGTTTGCTTTAGCTTTGAGGCACCCAAGAGTGAGTCTTTCTGGGGAGTAAACAAATCGAACCTCTCATTCCCCTGTGAAAAAATATATCACATATAATTCTAGCTGGTCTTTTTTGTCTTAAGGGGTAGAATTTATTAGTGATGTTGACAAAGAATGAAAGGATTTCCCTCGAAGGAGTGGCATGATGCTATTGAGGAGGAAAAGCCTTGAGCTTTCATTAATAGTAAAGAAGTTTGCCATTTTGGAGGCATTTTTTTCAAAAGGAAAATATTTAACAGTGAAATCTTTTGTCTCCTGGCACAGTGAGACTGCGATGAAGTTTAAAGCTGAGTTTACTAGCTAGGTTTTCCATTCTTTTGAGAGATTTAGACTTTTGTGCATAGATGCATAACCTTGGTGACAGCATCAACAAAGACTTTACAAATTACAAGAATTTGCCGATGTGAATATATACTCTATATTCTGACTTCAGTGAAGGTTATATGTGAAATACTGATTAATACAAACTAAGTAGCCTCTTAGAAACTCAGTCACCTATCCTTTTCTTGAAGGTTAGTTAAAGGCAGACATTTGGGTTGCCAAGATTGTGAAATATCCTCATCTGGTGACCTTTAAAATGATCTAGATGTTCATGTTACAGAGAAGGATTAGGTATAATTCTGCCAAAGGATCTGACATTTCATTTCATTCCATTGCATTCTATTCCATATCACTGAACAAACCCTCATTATAGCACATGGGTGCTGTGAAGAATGCAGAAACCAATCATTTACGATGTCTTGTACTATACTGAATGCTGGAGGATTTAAGCCTGATCATGGAGGGTGATCATGAGTCTTATATAAAAGACTCAGGCATTTGCAGTAGTAGTTCTATGAGTAACAGGAAACCATTATTCATGAGAAATTAAACTAGAAATAGCAGCAATTTAGGAAAACTTATCTTAATATTTAAGAAGATATTTTTTGAGGATAAATAAAAGAGCAGAGAAACAGGAGGCCGGAAAACATGTTAAGAGGATATTGCTGAAAGTATATAGAGCCTGAATGAAAGCAATGACAACAAAAATTGTAAACAGGTACAAAGCATTCTGGATATCAAATCAAAACCAATAGGACTAGATTTAGGATATGAACAAAAAGCTCAAAGTAATAGATTCTGGGACTGGGCAATTGGGACTTGAGATTGGTAATTAAGAAAATAGGCAGTGAAAAAGAGAAATGCAATAGTTGGAAGAAGGATAAGTGATTCAGTTAAGTTTGACAGTGCCATAGGATCAAGTGGTGCTTTTAGTGGTTAGCAAACTCACTCTCATATTTAGCAAGGTTAAAATTACATGTTGTTTGTTTCTGCTATGAAGTTTCATTTTATTTCCTGTCTTTTGCCCTCATAAGTGCTTAATGAAAGTTTAATGGTTATGATGGTAAGGGGGATAAACACTATAATCTGAAAAAATACTGTATTATAACCAGAGAGCCAGATTTCTTTTGTGTTTTCAGAGTGCTTAGTCAATAATTGATGCTCAGTAAATGTTTTTAGAACACATGTTCTGATTATATTGACTAGTTTTATTATCCAAATCGTCTCCATCATGGCTAACTTTCTGACAAGGGCATGAAAGTTTGATAATTTCAATTAAAACGTTGGGCATACAGCAAAAAAAAATTCATAAAGCTGTAGAAAAATACATCTGTAAAGTGGCTTACCTGGTGATGTTATCTCTGGTGTCTTCAATCTCTGACTTTCCTTTTTTCCTTCTATCTCTGTTGCATTCCCATATGCAAATATCTTAATAGTGCTAAACCATTGACTATGAAATTGGTTTGAGTGGTAGTATTATTTTGACATAAATGATTGGAAGTTTATGTAAAAAAGAACATCACACTTTTATAGTCTACGTAGTAGTATGTGCATGATATTCAGTTACAATTTTTAAAATCGAATTGAGAAGACATCTAATATCCCATAAGAATTCTATTAACAAGCATCATATTCCAAGGGTATATTTGCACAGTAATGCTATAGATTATTAAAATAATAATAATATAAAATCCATGCCCATATTCTTATTTTACAAATCAAGTATTTCTAGCTATCAGATTATTATTTACTTTATTAGAAATTACTGAGTATTGATTCAGTAACATTACTTAGAATGTCACAGCTTTGTTTGACAGTATATCGGTATAGCTACGAAAATTATACCTGATCAAGACTCTGTCATCTTAGAGGCACTAACATTAGTTATTATACTTCATTACTCTTGTAATACTTCCTCATGAGAAGACACTGACCTCTCCAATGGTGTTTAAAGGAAAAAAATAAGTACCCTATTTCTAATTTACTGAGTTAGTCTCATGTAAAATGTCTCTCTCTCTCTGAACCAGTACTGTAACAATCAATTTCAGTTCTTTCGTATAGGTAATACAAAATTAATAATGTAGATAAACTAATTATAAAAAACATTTTAAAATGCATTTTAGGGAAACCTTACAAGAAAGCTAAGACACACATGATAACATGAATTTTAAGGCAATAATTTTCCTTATCAAATGTATGACCGTATCTTATAACAAAATGCATGTCCGTAAATCCAATCCCGTGTTAAAATATAAGGTTGAATATGATACTTTTTCTGAAGAATATGGAGAACTATCCTGTTTAATATTTCTGTTATGAACAGAATTTCTAGTGGATTTCTAATACTAGTAGATTTCTACTGGTACATCTGGTAGTACTCTCTTATTCATTGGAAGTAATGATACTGTATCCTTTAACAATTAAATTTTTATCTAAGTCATATCTAGTAAGACTAAAAAAGCACTAAACTATTTTTACATAATGGTCTACAGTTTTGGCACACTGAGGATATTTAATAATGGAAATATAATGTGATTACCAAGTTATTAGAAATAAATAGTGATGCTCAAAAGGGCTATTTCCATGAATCTCAGTGTAAGAATGCAAGGATAATGTGAATACGTCAGAAATGAAAGAAAATAAGCATTTCCTCACCACCTACCAAATCTAAGCACTGTACAAGCTGAAGTTAATGTATTGTCTCATTTAACTCTAGTAATAAGCATGTCTTAGAAGAAGTTTTAAAATAGATTGAGGGGGTGCATGTGCAGGTTTGTTACATGGATATATCGTGTAGTGGTGGAGTCTGGGATTTTAGTATATCCATAATCTGAATAGCGAACACTATACTCAATAGGTAATTTTTCACCCCTCACCCCCCTACCAGCCTATAATCTTTTGTAGTTTCCAGTTTATATTATTCCACTCTAGATGTCCGTGTGTACCCTTTGTTTAGTTTCTTCTTATAAGCGAGAACATGTTGCATTTAGGTTTCTGTTTCCAAGTTACTTCACTTAGGATAATGGCCTATAGTTCCTATTCATGTAACTGCAAAAGACAGGATTTCATACTTTCTTAGGCTGTGTAGTGTTCTGTGGTGTGTGTGTATATATGTGTGTATATATATGTATGTGTGTGTGTATATATATATATATATATATGCGTATATACACACATATATACATGTGCATATCACATTTTCTTTATCCAATCATTTACTGATGGACGCTTAGGTTGATTCTTTGCTATTGTAAATAGTGCTATGATAAACATACAACTGCAGGTAGCTTTTTCATGTAACACTTTTTGTTGTTTTTGTTGAGTATATACCCAGTACTAGGATTGCAGGATCCAATAGTTGTGTTTTAAGTTCTTTGAGAAATCTCCATACTGTTTTACATAATGTTTATATTAACTTACATTCCCACCAAGAGTGAATAAACATTTTCTTTTCTCCACATCCTTGCCAACACCTGTTGTTGTTTGACTTTTTTAATGACAGGTATCCCCTTAAAAAAATGAGATACTGTCATTTGGAACAATGTGGATGGAACTAGAGATCGTTATGTTAAGTGAAATAAGCCAGGCACAGAAAGACAAACATCTCTTATGTTCTGACTTATTTGTGGGATCTAAAAATTAAAACAATTGAAGTCATGGAAATAGAGAGTAGAAGGATGGTTATCAGAGACTGGGAAGGGTGGTGGAAGGGAGGTGGGGATGGTTATTGGGTACAAAAATTACAGTTAGAAAGAATGAAAAGACATAATATTTGATCATATCATACAGTAACTATGGTCAATAATAACTTGTACATTTTACAATAACTGTGAAAGCATATAATTAGGTTGCTTGTAAGACAAAGGACAAATGCTTAAGGTGATAGATACTAAATTCTCCATGATGTGATTATTTCACTTTGCATGCCTGTATCAAAACATCTCATGTACCCCACAAATACACCTACTCTGTACCCACAAATTTTTAAATGACATTGAAAAAAACAAATAATAGCCATACTGATTGGTGTGAGATCATATCTCCTTGTGGTTTTAATTTGCATTTCTCTGATGATTAGTGATGTTGAGCATTTTCTCATATGTTTGTTGGCCACTTGTATATCTTCTTTTAAAAAATGTCTGCTAATGTCCTTTGCCTACTTTTTAATGGGGTTATCTATTTTTCTTCTTGTTGAGTTACTTTTAGATTCTAGATATTAGTTTTTTGTTAGATGTATAGTTCGGAATTGTTTTCCATTCTATAAGTTGTCTGTTCATTCTGTTGATTGTTTTTTGTTTTTTTGTTTGTTTGTTTTTGCTGTTCAGAAGATTTTAAAATTAAGTTCCATTTGTCTACTTTTGTTTTTGAGTACTTAGTCATAAATTCTTTGCCCAAGCCAGTGTCGAGAAGAGTTTTTCCTAGGTTTTCTTTTAGGATTTTTATATTTTCAGGTCTTACATTTAAGTCTTTAATACATTTTGAGTTAATTTTTGTATATGGTGATTTATGACCCAGTTTCATTCTTCTGCTTATGACTATCCAATATTTACAGCACAATTTACTGAATAGGATGTCCTTTCCCCAGTGTATATATACATTTTTTTACTTTGTTAAAGATGTGTTGGTCATAGATATGTGGTTTTATATCTGGGTTCTTAATTTGGTTAAATCAATCTATATGTATCTGTTTTTATACCAGTACCATACTGTTTTGGTTACTGTAGCCTTTTAGTATAATTTGAAGTCAGGTAATGTGATGCCTTCAACTTTATTCTTCTTGCTTAGCATTGCTTTGACTATTTGGGCTCTTTTTTGATTCTCTATGTATTTTACTATCTTTTTCTAATTCTGTGAAAAATGATGTTGGTAATTTATAAGGACTGTGTTCAATCTGTAAATTGCTTTGAGCAGTGTGGTTATTTTAACAATATTGATGCTCCCAATCCATGAGCAGGGAAAGTTTTTCCATTTGTTTGTGTCATCTATGATTTATTTCATGGGTGTTTTGTAGTTCTCCTTGTAGACACCTTTCACTTTTTTGTTTAAAGGCATTCCTAGGTATTTTTTTTTTTTGTAGTTGTTGTAAATGAGATTGAGTTCTTGATTTGGTTCTCAGCTTGATCATTATTGGTGTATAGAAATGCTACCAATTTTGTACATTGATTTCATATCCTGAAACTTTACTGAAGTCATTTATCAAATATAGGGTCCTTTTGGAGGAGTCTTAAGGGTTTTCTAGATGTAAAATCCTATCATCAGTGAAGAGAAATCATTTGACTTTCTTTTTCCCAATTTGGATGCCTTTTATTTCTTTCTCTTGCCTGATTGCTCTAGCTAGGACTTCCAGTACTATGTTGAATTGGAGCAGTGAAAATGGGTATCCTTGTCTTGTTGTAGTTCTTGGGGGAGGGGGGTGCTCTCAACATGTTCCTGTTTAGTATGATGTTGGCTCTTGGTTTGTCATATATGACTTTTGTTATTTTGAGATATGTTCTTTCAATGCCTAGTTGTTGAGGGTCTTTATCTTGGGGAGAGGCTGGATTTTATCAAATGCCTTTTCTGCATCTATTGAGATGATCATATGTTTTTTGTTTTTAATTCTTTTTATGTGGTGAATCACATATATTGCTCTGCATATATTGCACCACACAAAACATATATTGTGTTATGTGGTGAATCACAGATATTGCTCTGCATATATCCCTGCCTACCTGGCATAAAGCTCACGTTATTGTCATGTATTATCTTTTTGTTATGCTTTTGGGTTTGGTTTGCTAGCATTCTGTTGAGGATTTTTGCATCTATGTTCATCAGGGATATTGGCCTGTGGTTTCCTTTTTGTTGTGTCCTTACCTGCCTTTGGTATCATGGTGATACTGGCTTCGTAGAATTAATTAGGGAGAATTTCCTCTTGTTTGATATTTTGCAACAGTTACAATAGGATTGGTACCAGTTCTTTGCATGTCTGGTAGAATTCGGCTGTGAATACGTCTGGTCCTGAGCTTTATTTTATTGGGAGATATTTATTACTGATTCAGTTTCACTATTTGTTATTGGTCTGTCCAAGATTTTTGCTTCTTGTGGTTCAATTTTGGGAGTTGATATGTATCCAGGAATTTATTCATTTCCTCCAGATTTTCTAATTTGTGTACCTAGAGATGCCCATAGTAGTCTGATAATCTTTCGTATTTCTATGGTATCAGTTGTAACGTCACATCTATCATCTCTGACTTTGCTTATTTGATTCTTCTGTTTTTTTCTTGGTTAATCTAGCTAGTGGCCTATTAATTTTGTTTATCTTTTCAAAGAAAACTCTCTAATTTTTTTAATTTTTTGTCTTTTATTATCTCAGTTTCATTTAGTTCTGCTCTGATCATTGTTATTTCTTATATTCTGCTAGCTTTGGTTTCGGTTTGTTCTTGGTTTTCTAGTTCATTGAAGTACAATATTAGTTTGCTAATTTTAGATCTTTCTATCTTTTTGGTGTAGGCAGTTAATGCTATAAATTTCCATCTTAGGACTGCTTTTGCTGTATCCCAGAGGTGGAGGTATGTTGTATGTCTCTTTTTATTTGTTTCAAAAAGTTTTAATTTCTTCCTTGATTTCATTGTCCAAAGATCATTCAGGAGCAGGTTGTTTAATTTCCATGTATTTGTATAGATTTAAGGAGTCTTCTTGGTACTCATTTCTAGTTTTTTTCCACTGTGGTGCAAGAAGATGCTTGATATGATTTTGATTTTTTTAAAAATGTGTTAAGAACCACCTTGTGGCCTAGCACATTTTCAATTTTTGATAATGATCCACGTGCAGATGAGAATAATGTACATTCTGTGGTGGTAGAATAGAATGTTCTGTAAGTGTCTGGCCTGGAAGGATATTAATACTTGATTTTACAGACAAATAGATGTGTTCAAAGAGTTTAAGGAGTTGTTCAAGGTAACTTCAGTATTAATTGGTAGATTCTGATTTTAACTTTGACCTGTCTGCCTTTGAGACCATTTCTCTCCATTTTGAGATTCCAGTGAAGCTTGACTCCACCTGAGATCCTAGAGACTAGAGCAGTTGCAGAGAAGTGACAAAGAGATTTGAAGATGTTGTGGCATTTGGATTCCCAGGATTGGGAATGTCTAGATAGAAGGTACAGAGACTGTGTGCATATGAGTCTTCAAACATAGAGTAAGCAGTAGTGGTAGCTACACATTAAATACTCAGAATCAAAATGCTTAATGAAATAATTCATCACCATTACTCCTGTAGTTCTTTAAAATAGAGGAAAAAGAGACTATAAGGGAAACAGGAATATAGGCTTATGATAAGAATGGCAATACCGTCTGAGCAGGAGGATAATCATTGGAACTGAATTTCACAACTATATTCTGTTAGCAGCACAATGCATAGCATTTCCTCTGTGCTCTGCCTGAAACTTTCCACCCCAACTCTCTCCCAATAATCTTCTTTTCTTTTTCAATAATTATTTTCAGTAAAGGCATTTTATAATTATTTATTCAATGTTATTGGTTTTTAATCTGATTTTAATTCTGTAACTATATGCAGAATGTATGGGTGGGTGCATGCATGGATTGTAGAAAGAGTAGGAAAGGCAAGAGAATTGAGGGCTACCATTTCGTGATTAGGGACTGTCCTCACTCCATGACATATGTCTGCCCATGCAAATTTTTCTGTGATAACCATCAGATGAGGTAGTTTGAACCTACTTTTATTAATGTAGTGTAAATAAATTGGAAGTTCAGGTATTATTTAAGGATTTAACACTTACTGTATATTTCTCCAGACCTTAAAACTTTGCTGTAACTTCACTTGTTTTCATGACTTTTCAAAAATCACATTCTCTTCCTGCACTTATGATGTCTATTAGAAAGGATGATAGTCAGAATGTATTAGATGAGGGTAAAATAGATTAGTATTAGGTTAGGTCATTGCAGTTTAGTTTCAAAACTTTGATATAAATATGGCTAAATATGAATTCTTTCAACTAATTAGATGCTAATATTTTTGGAATTTATATTGTTTTCCAGGCAAAATGCAAAACAGTTTTACCTTATTCAATCTTCTTAACCACATAAAGAAATAGGCAGTTTTATTATCTTAGTTTTACAAATTAGGAAGCTGAGGCTTGGTGTGGTTGATGACTTTCTCAAAGTCACGTGATTGGTTATTGATGCTTCCAGGAATTACACATAGAAAATCTGATTTCAGATGCTACACTTTTGACTACAGTTTTACTGTCTCCTCATAGTCATGCACAAGTTTTGGTCAATCTATTTCATCCTATGTCCTTTTCCATATGTAGGAGTACATTAATTGTCTACTTTATTTTTAAAACAGTTTCTTTTCGTATTTATTGAGTCCCCTTCAGGCTATTGAGAAGCATTTAGTGTGCTTGTATAGCCTTTCAAATCTCTCCATTGAAACAGTCTTTCAGAACCCCCATTTGGTAGCTTAGGAGTTGGCAGAAACATAAACATTCATTTCTAACAAAAAGATAAAATCAGTGTGTTCTGATATAAGAACTAATAAAGATATTCAATCACATTTAAGTAAGTGAATATCAAAAGCTTTTCTAGGGTAGCCTGTTGAGGAAGATTATTTAAAATATTCAGCAAATTTATAACAAAGTTATATACCGTAAATAGATCTTCATGGAAAGCTAGACAATACTGTGACCAGCCAGGCTTAGCAAAGTGAATATTTCACTGCAAATAAAATCGAAAGTCCTTTCCAGATCATATCATTCAGGCCAGCAAGGGATATAGAGCCTAGCCCAGTGTAGAGGTGGTAGAAGGAATGGGGCATAGAGGAAAAGAGTGAAAAAAATAAATTACCTACCACCCCATCATTTCCCAAGAAATCCTAACACTTTCTGATCTGTACTTGAAGTTTTTATTTGAAAAAAAGTCAATTCCTGTCCAGATGTCTTGAATTAACATGATCATTAGTATCTAGGGATTTTTTTGTTCATGAGACAGCTTTTTTAAGATACTTCTTTCCTGGATGTTAGACTCAACTCTATTCCTAGAACCTTCTGAATTCTTAATGTCCTTTGCAAATTTTATGTTTGCTACAATTTTTTTCTCGTTAGTCTTTCCTTATGTGTGCATTTATTGAGATAAACTACAAACTACTGAATATTTGTAATTAAACATCTAAATATATTAATTTTAAAGTCATTTTTGGAGACAATAGATTGCCTTCCAATTCATGATGAACAGCGTTCTGTGTTGTTTCTAGGGGTGTGTTTTGTGTGTGTGTGTGTGTGTGTGTGTGCGTGTGCGTGTTTGTGTGTGTGTGACCTGCAAGTACCGGCAATTAGCTGTTGGGTATTCAATGAAGTCGGAGGAGTAGTTAAAAAAAAAAAAAACTTTACATATAGGTAACAGCTGTTCTTTTCCTGTTCTTTCCATAGCTGAGTCTATGCTATGGCCAAAAGAAATAGACAAGTAAAACAAAAGCTTCTCCCATCGAATTTACAGGATACCCATCCTTGTTTTTGTTTTCTATTATACTGCCTTTCGATTAATTATTGCTCTTCACCTTTAAACATCAAATCAAAAATTTCCCTAGCCTTACATAATTCCATGTCTTTATTTCCTAAGTATTATTTTACATGTGTTCTAAGAAAGGGTAAAATAGCATAGATCTAGAATAAACACTGAAGTGGCTCTCCAGTGGTTTTTCTAAGCCACTTTTGAAAACCAACTTGACATGGACAAGAGCCAGAAGAATTCAGTATCACTGATGGCATTTAAAAGAAGTACAAGAAAAGTCAGGTTTAAATAATAAAATTGGGAACATGTACTAAGGGAGTAACAAATTTTGTTAAGCCCTTTAACTAGAGACTTATTTAGAAGAAATACAATTATTCACAGAGGTATAACAAAAACTGTTTGTCCAATCTAGGCATTCTTAATGTTACATCTCACTGTTGGCCTTTTCTCTTGTCATAAAGAAAAAAATACATTATTTGACATTTGACAACAAACATTGGTAACATTTGTATCTAATAATGGTAATGAAATTTAACTAGGAACATGATAGATGTTTGAAATCTGGTAAGTGTTACAAAAGCATTCCTTTAATAAAATAATGAAAATAAATGCATAATAAAGTACCTAGTATGTGTGTATATATGTGTATGTGTATGTACAATCTGGAAGCTTTTAATAAAGGAAAACATTTTAACAATATTATATTACAATATTTTAATTTGAAGGTATTATTTTCTGACAGACAAACATTTTTGTGTACTTCTCTAGGGATGCATCTATATTTGGAAACTATTTGGCTCATATTTCAGGCTTAATTAGCAAATCCAATATAAATCTCCGTTGTATAAATTCATCTATGACAAATTGAAATCCATAAGAAGTCAGTATTTAAAATTGTAATTAAATATAGCCTTACAACACTTTAGCATATTATTTTTTTTAAATACTCTTGAGAATTCATTTCTTTCCAACTGGAGAAACAGGCAGGCATTCTTTACCCCAATGATCAAGGCCTTTATTCATGGATTCCTAGTTTGGCAGAACAATTGAACTTTTTAACTCCAGCTTTTTATGTCTGGCGTTTCTGCTACTTGTAAGAATCAGTGTAAAAGTAAACCCTGAACGTTGCATAGTTCATAATCTGTATTTTGCTGATATTAAGGAGATTAGCTAATACAGTTATATTCACTAATATTTATTTCGCATTTGAAGTCTGAGAAAATAGGAGACGTGCTTACTGTTTTACCATAGCTTTTGTCTTACAGCTATTTAGTGTGCTCAAAAAAGTCAGTTTAACCTTTTTTAGTTTAATTCCTAATTAGCTGAGAAAGAAGAAATACAATTTTAAAAAGTCATAGAGGAGAAGAGATACTGGAAATAACATTAAATCAAATGTACCTTATGCAAATCTACTCCAGCACTCTGGACTCTTCAACGTTCTTAGTCACTGTAGAGAGCCTTTCCCCACTCCTTTATTTCCTTGTACTCACCGTAAGTCCAGAGGGTTCTTGTGTTAGATTTTAATGCTATCATCTCACAACTCTCTTTAGTGGTACTTTACGTTAGCACTTCTGCCAAGCATAAAATATAAACCCTTGATCAATATGGCAAGAATGCCATTTCCAATTATAAAACAAATAGATGAACGAAACAAAATCAGAACAACTAAGTAATGGAGAATATAGTACGTTTGATCACATAGACTTTAAAAGACTCAATAAGAGTTGGATTCATTCCATGGATCCAATGTTTTTCTTACACTTCTTAAGTAAAATATATTAAAATTGTGAAAAAGCAATTTACATGTAAAAATGAAAACTGGCATTATTTACTTGTAATTTTGTAATATATGTAATTATATATACTCATTGAAGGACAGAAAAGAATTGACTAAATTCAGAAAACCAACTTATGATACACTGGCCACCAAATTATCATTTTAATTATTATTTGAAACATTCCCGGCTGACACCTTCAAAATGTTCCCAGTCCTGTCTTATATAACTCAGAAAACACAGACTCAACATGACTGTCAAGGACAACTCTGAATTTTAATGTTTCCATTTTTGGCCTCATGGCAAAAAGAGTTTTATTAACCATTATAAGCTCTGGAATGTCAAAGGCATGATAGGCAGTATAGATTGCACACACAAAATAGATGCATAGTCATTTTATTCTAAATTGCTTCACTTGAAAATGTAGTATGAAAATCTAGAGAGACGAAGTAAAAAGAAGTGATTTTATAGTGTTCTAAAATGTTGAGGCTTCGAAAATAAGAAGCCTAGGATAAAAATGCTCATGCATTTGAGATTGTGATTCAGCCATCCTAATAAGTTCCCTTCCACCTGCCATAGAGTTTGAATACCTAAGAGCTAGACTGATAGGTGCTAAGCACTGTTGTTTTGCAAGTAGGGACAGCACGTTTGCCAGAAAGTAACGGGAAATGTCCCAAACTTGTTTCTCCACTCTTGTGTTATGTAACAAAATGTTCTAAGAAACAAAGTAGTTGCCTAGAAGTCTCAAATAGCTATTCAGAGAAATCCCAATAATAAATAGTGTAACAGGGTAAGGTCTTATGGGATCTGGAGCACCCAGGCAACATACCTTGGTTCTAGAGCAGCCTCCTTTGTTTACCCCTAATTTATTCCTGTGTTTACCCCTGTTCATCATTACAAAATAATTGTACATCATGTTTTTAAAAAGATTGGAAATACTGTTTTGTGACAGCCTCACTTAATAGGGGGAAATGATTTTTTCAGAGCCACATTTGTAAGTTAGAAAGGCAGTATTTGAATTATTCTGGTTTTATCCTAGGGTTCAGTTGAGACCAAGTGGTTATTTTCTGTTGAGGTTAGTGTAATTGTGATTACACCAAAAATCACTAATTCTTCCTATTATATTGTAATCTTTGTGCAATCAGGAAGGAACAAACTCATCTGTGCATGTTTTCCCCAAACCCCCACATGGTACCATTTATCTGACAAATGTTTATTGATCTTTATTTGCTTGTAATACATAGTGAGAAGGACAGAGGGCATCTCTGTTCTAGTGGACTGCCTATTATAGTAAGTAGAGACAAAAGGACTAAGCTGATACATAAGAAATTATTGAGTAGTGACAATACTATGATTAAAAAAATGACAGAAATGGTGAATTACTAGGGAGCAACATTGGATAGTTTGCTCATGAAAAGCTGCTCTAGGTAGGTGACACTTACATTGAGTCCTGAATGATAAAGAAATGATTTAAACATCTGGAAGAAAAGCAATCCTGGTAGAGGGAACAGCTTGACACATTTTTGGAAGAGAGACAAAGCAAGTCATTCTGAAACACTGTGAGGGCGAGAATGGTATACAATTAGACTGGTGAGGTAGTCAGGTGCTAGATCATATAAGAATTTCAGGTAGAGAAGTTAAATTTTCTTTCTTAGTATGATAGAAATCTATTGGTTTTTATAAATCGGACTGACATCTGATTTGTAGTTTGAGCGGAAGGGAAAAAACGAGTAAAGGAGCTAAAAAGTAGTGTATAGGCCAGGCACAGTGGCTCACGTTTGTAATCTCAGCACTTTGGGAGGCTGAGGTGGGTAGATTACCTGAGGTCAGGAGTTTGAGAGCAGCCTGGCCAACGTGGTGAAATCCCGTCTCAACTGAAAATACAAAAAATTAGCTGGGCGTGGTGGTGTGCACCTGTAATCTCAGCTACTCGGGAGGCTGAGGCAGGAGAATCCCTTGAACCCGGTAGGTGGAGTTTGCAGTGAGCCGAGATCATGCCATTGGCATTCCACCCTGGGTGACACAGTGAGAATCCGTCTCCAAAATAGAAAAAAAAAATAAAAAAAGTAGCACATAGGTAGGAGGGTAATCAAGAGAAGGTGTCAAGAATGAGGGAGTGGCCAATTAGGTTAGTAATCAACATGTCAAGTAAGACGCTATAACAAATGGTTATTGAATTTAGGAACATGAAAGTTGATGGTGTCCTTTACAAAAGATATTTCAATGGGTTAGTGGGCAAAGTGAATAGTAGGATAAATATGTAGGCACAGTAACTATAGGATACATTTGTTTTTTTTTTTTTCAGTGAAGAGGAACACATAATAGGACAGTAGGAGGACCGGTTTGTTGGATCAAGAGTTTGTTTTATTTTTATGGTAATGGAGAAGTTCAGTAGAGAAGAAGAGCCTGAAAATGCCAGAAGTGCTGATAGTTGTAGGAAAAAAGTCCTTGAAAGGGAGAAAGGGGGTGGGATGAGAAGGAGAACATCCTGCTGTACCTTTCTTAACATTTGTCTTCTCTAGATACTTTCCAGTTAAATTAACAATAGAACATATAAATTTTGCTGAGCGTCATAGCAGAAAATTGGCTTGGAATGGTTTTAGGTTAATAAAAAATGGGAGTACCTGAGATGTAGCAGAAATAAATTTCACCATTTGAGAGCAAATCATTTCAACACACATGTAAGAATATCATTTTAATTTCCTTTAAAACATTTTATCTTTCAGGTGCTTCAAGAAGATCTAGAACAAGAACAAGTCAGGGTCAATTCTCTCACTCACATGGTGGTGGTAGTTGATGAATCTAGTGGAGATCACGCAACTGCTGCTTTGGAAGAACAACTTAAGGTCAGATTATTTTGCTTAGTAAACTAAATATGTCCTTTAAAAGAACTATAACTTGAAAAGTATTTTAAAAATTTAGAATGCAATTTATATATTAAAATACTTAGAATACAATATGTGTACAATATACACACACTCATAATCAGCTGAAGTGCTGTGATTTAAAGAATTCCATAATTCTGATACAATAGTAACTAACTGCGGATGGGTAAAATCTAATACTTTACCAGAAAATTTCAATTAATATTAAATAAGGCTGGGAAGCAGGGGTTGAAGGGAGGTTACTGGTTAAAAAAAATTTAAATGCAGACATTTTTCTAAGGCATGGAGTATTTCCATTTAAAATAACAATTGAAAGCACCCATTTCATCATTAGCTGACCCAGTGTGAATAGCTTTTCAATATAATTCATCCAAGGTGATGCTTGTGTGGTTAAGGCATCTTGAAAAACAGTCCGTAGAACTCACAGATGGTTGTATGGTGGGCCTATACTCTTCTGTATTTGTTTTCTACTTGCTTTCATTTTCACCTTATTTTCTGCCTTTATTTCTTTGGCCCAAAGACATCTACTAAATATCGGTAAATGTACTGATTATCCCTAATTTGCTTAAACTCTATCTGCATTTGTCCATGATTGCATACCCCTTTAATGGCTACTGCCTTCCAGCCTCCTCTTTTGTCTTCAATCTTCTTTCCTCTTTTGATGTTCTCATTTTGCCTCTATATAGCTCTGTAGTGTCATGTGACTTTAAGATAATCTAGACTAGTATCTAAAAGGGCAGCATTAAAAGGAATCAAGTGGAGAGAAAGCCCTTGCTATAACTTTTCTTTGATTCCATCCCATCAGTTCCTTCAGTCCCAAAAGAATCCATGCTTGAGTTCTATACTTTATTTAACTATTGGCTGGAATTGTCGTGGAATGCTCTGCTTCCATTTGACTTTGAAACAGAGATGATTCTTAGGTTCTTTGCAAGTGATATAATCTTGTCTTACCTAGTTTACTTTTTAAAAGCAAGAAGAAGAGGACGAGAAGATGGTACAGAAGGAGGAGTAAGGAGAAATCATAAAGTATTAAAAGATTGATAAAGTATAAAAACATAAAAAAATTTAACACAAATACCCTGGGTATATTATAATTCTAGGGTAGCTTCAGAGACTGTGGACTTTAATATGTTTAATACTGGACTGAGAGGGATTCTGGTAGACGTAATTAGAAGAATTACAGGAAAGAGAAACAGGTATTTGGATCCCCTAAAAGAAAAACAATCATCAGGACTCAGAGAAGGATCTTAGCAGGCTTTTTATTAGAGCAGAGTCTGGCTATCCTTAACTTATTCCTCAAAACCTATTAGTGTTGAGTGCCCATCTCACGCCTTCTCTTCCTTCGCCCTGGCATCCCTCATCACCACAATTCCTTCATCCATTGCACTAAAATTCTGTTGAAATGCCATCCAGAGGCTCAAAAAGGATAGCCAGCTGTCTTTGGTAAAGAGGTACAGATGGGGGAAAGTAGGAAGGGAAGTCCCCATTTAGTCCAATAAGGAAGAGAGATGCATACTTAACACCCTGAGTTAGAACTCTAAAAATACTTCCAATAGGATATATCTGCATGTATTGATTTATTCTGTAAATTCTATTATGATGATATTTTAGGATTTCTCTAACTTTAAAATACCTTTAGAGTCTTCTTTGGAAAAGGTTTGAAGAAAACCAAAGACAGGTCAGAATATATGCTTAGAGTTTCTGAAAGATGACATAGCTTATGAAGTGTAATATTCTGAAAAGTGTGCTCTCCGATAATTAGATTCTTTCTCTCAAAGGTTCAGCTTGTCCCTCAGCAATGTTACTGCAGATTAGAGTCTTGTCCTTAACTTTAGAGGCTTCCAGGATGTCAGTGCGTAGAGAGTCTGTTTCATAGGCAGTGATGCCAGTTAACTTATTTGATTGAGAAATATTTTTATAAACTAAATTTTATAACTAAAATTGGTCATTTATATAGTCTTCAGTTTTAGAGGTCATTACCACATCTCTTTCTAAGCATTCCACATCCCATTTGAATTTTTTTCAACAAGTACTCGTTATGTTCTTACTATGTCCCAGGGATTGTGTTGGGTAACCAGGTAAGACAGTTAAAAAAAAGAATTTGTCACTATCTACCCTGGTTGCGATGGGTAATTTGAGAGCCTACTGCCTTCCTTGGAACCCTGGAACAATGGTGACTATATCTCAGTCTCCCTCTTTGTAGTAGAATGCTAATTCCTTGTCATCCATGGTCACTATGATAGGCAGGTAGGCATGGGAACTGCGCTCTTGGTACATGCAATCCAGTATAAAAATAGACATTAATAAAGTATTTTTAAAAATGAGCAAATGTTAAAGAATGGATGCAACTTATTTATAAAGGCAAAAAATAAGCTTTTGTGACAGGAAATTACTCTGACTTAGACTGAACTTTGAACGCAACAGATGATTCCTGAGGAAAGTTTTCTTTAAGCTAAGATCTAAATCATACATTGGAGGAAAATGGATAAAGTGTGCATGTAAGTGTCATGGGATCCTTGGGTGTCACTTTGCCAGCCAGAAACCTCTGTGGCCGGCAGCACCTCTGTCTGGGTTTTGCTTGTGCCCGCTGGGCTCCTTGCACCCACTCAGCCTGGCAGGCTGTGCTTGGCTTGCACTACTGGCCCGGATCCCCATGCCTGCCAAGGGCAAGCCAGGCACAGAGCAGTAAGAGGTATGTGAGCAAGCGAGCATGAGGCCTGGCCACTGTGCACAGACAGGCATGCCAGCTGCAGCGGAAGGCAGCTACAGGCACCAGTACTGGTGGCAGCTCCATGTGAGGCTGTGGCTGGACCAGATGTACCACAAGTAGCTTCTGCTGCAGGCACCAATGTCTGGACAGGGGATCGCGGTGGCACCTGAAAGCTCAGAGACACCAGGAACCACAGAGCCCCAAGGAGCATGTTACAGCATGCCACAACCCTGGCTTGAGGAGCCCCAAGGTCTGGGCTCTGCAAAAGGCCACAGCTCTTCTCTGTTTCTCATTGCCCATAGCATGGTGAGTGGGGGGCATGTTTCAGCCCTGTTTGTGTTACAGCTCTTTTTGTCCTGCCATTCAGCAAGTCCTGAGTTCTTGTCCCATGTCCAGGAAGAATGAGGTACATGGACAACTGGAGGGTGAGCAAGGTGCAGAGGAGCTTCATTGAGCGAGAGAACAGCTCTCAGGATACCACGGTGGGTAGCTCCTTTCCACAGGCAGGTCGTCCCAGGGAGTGTGCAGCTGTGAGTAGAGAGGAGACCCATGGTGGGTGGCTCCTTTATGCAGGCAGGTCATCCTGAAGAGTCAAGGAGACACAAAGTAGGTAGCTCCTTCCTGCGGCTGGTAGTCCCAATGTCTAAGTTTGTCTGAGTCTGGGGTTTTTATGGGCTCGGAAGGGAGGAGGTACATTCTAATTGGTCCATGGACATCCATGGATAGGCCCAGAAAAAGCACCATAAGTTCTCATTCTGGGCCACAAACTCCACCCAGAACTGGCAGCCCAGCCCCCAGGCTTCAGGCCATTCTTGGCTTGAAGGAGGGGTTTCTCTGTGGATCTGCTCCTTTCTGCCCAGGAGCCAGTCTGCCTCCTGCCACCATCAACATGCCATCCATGTAGCCTAGGCAGTTTATACCAAGGGGTACCTGCAGGCCCACACCGAACCATCCTCAGTCCCCACTCAGCCTCTCTCCCATGCTCATCAGTGCCCAAAGTCCAGACGGGCGCAAGGCAGCAGGGGGCTGGCATGCCAGCACTGTCCCGAGCACACACATAACCAGTCAGGTTGCGACAACACCTGGTCTTGGCCGCAACTTTGCTTCTCCCAGGAGCCAGTGCGGGGAGCGAGGAGATGCCAGGGAGTGGGAGCAGGCACTTCTTAGTATGTGGAGGCAGGGGGGCTTCCCAGGCCCCCAAGAGCGCAGGAATGCCCAGGTCCGGAGCTGTGGCTGGGTGGCTGCAGCTGCACCTGGAAGCATGGGGCTCCCACCCTGCCAACTCAGTAGGGAGCAGCGCTCCTGCTTGTTCCTGGCCCTTGGTGGCTCCACACAGTGCACAGCCCTGGCCACGCCTCCCTTGCTGCAGCTGGCATCTTTGCAGTGGCCGCTCCAGACAGGCTGCTGCTGCCATCATAAGTGAGATTGGTGGAGGTGGGTAGAGTTTCTAGGATGGATAAATGGTAAATCAAGAGAGCGTGGTTTATAAAAACTTGCATGAAAAAAGACTATAAAAAGACCATAAAGAAAGCCTTTTGTTCTTGGGAGATAACTGTTTCTAATAAAGAAAGAAGGAGAAACATGGTTAAGCCCATAGCTTATAGAAGATGCTCTAATGAAAATGTCTTCCAAAGAAAAAGCAAAACCATTAAAACCCTATTTTTAGGTATGTTATTCTGTACAAGTTAAAAGTTGAGAGCCAACTATAGATGTATTGAAGGTCTGTGTGGTCATAGAACCAGGAGAATTTCTGCCATATAAAAGGCATTTGAATTATTTTGTTAAAATACTTTAATATTGAAGTTACTGCCTAATATTTTGGAGAATTAAAAGTATATGAAAAGAATGAGGCTAGGTACAGTGGCTCACACCTGTAATCCCAGCACTTTGGAAGGCTGGGGAGAGAATATTGCTTGAGCCCAGAAGTTCAAAGATTAGCCTGGGCAACATAGCAAGACTATCATATCGTATTTTGATTTTCCTAATAAAAATAATTATAAAGAATGGATAAAGACAGAGTGTATTAAGGTTCTCTAGAAGGACAGAACCCACTGGATGGATGGATGGATGGATAGATAGATGTATATATGTGTATATAAAATATACATTTAGGAGTTTATCATGGAGAATTGGCTCACATGATTACAAGGTGAAGTCCCATGATACGCCATCTGCAAGCTGGGAGAAGAGAGAACCTAGTAGCCTGGTGCAGTCCAAGTCCAAAAGCCTCAAGACCAGAGAAGCTGACAGTGCAGCTCTCAGTGTGAGGCCAAAGGCCTTAGAGCCCCTGGGAAATCACTGGTGTAAGTCCCCCAGTCCAAAGACTGGAGAACCTGGAGTCCTGGAGTCTGATGTCCGAGGGCAGGAGGAGAGGAAGCCAACTGCCCCGCAGGGCACAGGAAGAGAGTGAGTAAACTTACCAAGCAAGCTACTTTATCCCTGTTCTCCTGGCTTTGTTCTAGTCTAACTGGCAGCTGATTGGGTGGTGCCCACCCACATTGAGGGTGGGCCTTCCTCTCCCAGTCCACTGGTCCACATGTCAGCCTTCTTTGGCTACACTCTCACAGACACACCCGGAAGAAACAATACTTCATCAGTGATCTAGGCATCCCTCAATTCCATGAAGTTGACACATAATATTAACCGTCACAACAAGTATTCTATTTTCAAGAAGGAAAACCTGGAAAACACAATTTTGGATCAGATTATTAAACATGAGGCCATGCTCACTGGTATGGTTTCTCACTTATCTCATGCAGTTAATAAACATATTTATTGCCTGAAGGAATAATTTTTGCAGATGAGATAGTTTTCTAAGAACTAAGCTACATTCGCTAAAATTGAGTCATGTAAACCAACTTTATATCAGATGACATTAAACAATTTGTAGAAATACTTTGTGGTAGTATTAAGACAAATTATTTTGTTAGACTTATTAAATTGGCTGATCCAATGGAATGGAATGAATTTGAGGTATTCTGATTTTCCTGAACCTTTTAGCAAAGCCTCTGCGTGATACTGTTTATTGGTAAGGTGAGTCTATCTTTCTCTATGAGTGTTCGTGGGTGAGTCTGTGTTTTAATATATTCCTTTCTAGTATCTGATTTACGTGCTGAAAATTCTGGGGAAGGAAGCCATTTGAGGATTTAGCTGGGGCTCTGTGTAAAGTGTGCCCCTGTAGGAGTGGTTAATGGAATATTTCTGCTCCCATATTAACTTAGAAGGTTTATAGCTATGTCCTGAGGAGTTAGAATATCATATACAAATGTTACATCCTATTGTTTTAAGTCAGAAAACTCATGTTTATAGTTCGAAATGTTGCTGCTTTTTAAAAATGCAAGTAGTATAAATCAGTTGAATTAGTTTGAGATACAAAGGGTCTGACTTCCCATCTATAGATATAAATGTAAATATATATAAATGTAAGTGTGTAAAAATACATGTAATTTTGTCTATATAAAAATATATGTATAAATGTGTATATAGTTAAATTTATATACATCTCTTTATGTTTCTATATATATACATACGTACATCTTTGTGCATATGTATATATATGTATATACATACATATACATAAACATAAGCACATATGAGATAGAGTGCACATGCTTACTTTGAAACAAGCTTGATATTAAGGATGATACAGATTCTTAGTTAATGCAATCACAGACTGTGATATAGTGTCTAGATTACATGAACTAATAATTATACTCTATGCTGATTTGAATACACTGTATTTTACGCCCACGATTGGTACTCTATCTTAGCAGGATTTTCTCAGATGGCAGCATCCTGTGAAGAATATTTGTAGAGTGGGCGATTATTTAATTAAAAAATAACTAATCATAGGGAAATGGCACATGAACACTATTGTGATGGTGAAAAAGGAAGGCACTTTCTCTATGGTTTTTCAAAATGTCATAATATCAGAAGCAGACAGAAGTTGGTAACTCTGGATGTCTTCTGCCCAGATCTTTCCTGAGTCCATTTTCTTCTAATTATCTTCTGAACACATCCTTGAAGTCCAAACAACACTTCAAACTCAACAAGATGAAACTTACCTCACTGTACATTGCCTTCCTTTAAACCTGCTTTCCTTACTGAATTTCTTATTTTTGTCATTGCACTGGCACTTATCATGACACCTGTACCAGAAACCTAGAGTCATCCCCAAATTCATCCCTGTCCTTTCCCTTATGAGCCCTTTGCATGCAATGTCAAAATATTTCTCAACCTTATCTTGTATTTATTATTTCATCTTTGTTCTTGTCAACATTTCTCAAGGTATAGGCCATATCATAAGCCCCCAAAGTCCTTGCCTTCAGTCTTACCGCTCTTCCATCCAATCTCCACATTGAAGTCAGTGTGGGTTCCCAAGAGCCTGTTTAATCGTTCTCCTTTGCTTAAAATCCTGAGTCACTTTCCAGATTCTGATACTTTGGCCTA